>NW_025791789.1:0-300000 GCF_000001405.40 Homo sapiens | reverse complement strand
TTTCCAATAAGATAGGTCAACAAACAATTTGTTTCTAGCCGTTCTTCAGCGTCCCCATTAATACAAAAATTGATTAGGATTTGGGTTAGACCTACAAAGTGCCATTCTTTCCCTCATTTATCAATCATGTGATCATTCATGTGATACATTTAATGTTCTAATCAGTAGAACATTGCCAGCTTTCTCATGAACTAATGGAGCAAGAACTCACCCCTTACTGGAGGGAAGGCACCAAGCCATCCAGGGGGGACCCACCCTTATGACCCAGACACCTCCCATTAGCCCCTGCCTTAAACATTGGGGATCATATTTCAATATGAGATTTGAAGGAGACAAATATCAAAACTATTAGTAGGTAAATGAGTCTTGTTACATTCTGAGGAAAGAATATTCAAGACAAAAGAACTAGAAGTTCAAAGGCCTTGGGGCAGGAGTTTGTAAACTTGAAAGTAAATCAAGGCAGCTAATGTGGATGGCTGGAAAATACAGCAAAAAGAAATTGTGGTAGGAGGTGAGGTCTGAGATTTAGAAACATGATAAAAATTTTGATTTAAAGTGTAATTAAGAGCCATTGGAAAGCTTTGAGCATGGCAGTTAAATGATTTGATTGTTAAAGAGTAACTGCCTGCTTTTTGCAAAATAGACTGAAGTTGACTCAGGGAATTGGAAGTAGGCAGGCCACTGGGGTTTATTACAATAATCTAGGTAGAGATTACATTGTCTTAGATCAGGACGGCCAAGTGGAAGTGACAAGAAGTGATTAGAATTAGGAAGTATTTTGATGGGAGAGTCAAGAGGATTCACTGATGTATTAGTTGTGTTTTTTTGTGAAGTAAAAAATCATGAGTAATGCCCAGATTCTGGACCAGTGCAACTTAATGTCTCATGGTCAATCTAATGGGAGTTTGAGGGTGTGTTTTTTTTAATTTTGAAAAAAGCAGTATGCCTTGGTCATTGCAGTATTTCTAGAATTCAACTAAGGGTCTGGCTCGCCAGTTAAAGCTTTCTTGTGTAAACGAATAAATTTCTTGTATAAATGAATACATTTAAGGCTTAGCCTGCCAAATAGATATTTGGAATGTCTTAAAGATTGTAATGGTCTCATCATCAGATAAAAAATAGGAGTAGCATGCACATCTATGTAAAAGATAAAAAAATCTTTCTTCATACAAATGACAAGGGGGATAAATACTGCTAAACTGGAATGAGTTAATTTGTAGCATCTTATAATTTCATGAAATATGAATAGGTGGACAATGTGCTTTAAGATGACTAATGTTAACATTGTTTAGTCCTGTGAAAAAAGGAAGCATTTCAGAACTTGAGACAATAAGCTTTTGACTTTTTAAAATCAGACTCCAATGAATGTGCAAAATGTCCAGACAACCAGTATTCAGTGAGAGAGATCACTGCCTCACAGAGTTGTGACCTTCCTGGATTTTGAAGATGCACTGGGGACAGCACTGGCCAGCATAGCTCTCTGTTTCTCTGTCCTCACTGCCATTGGTATGGTTTCGCTGTGTCCCCACCCTAATCTCATCTTGAATTATAGCTCCCATAATTCCCACGTGTTGTGAGAGGGAGCTGGTGGGAGATAATTGAATCATGGGCGCAGTTGCTCCCATACTGTTCTAAGTCTCACAAGATCTGATAATTTTATTAAAAGGTTTCCCCTTTCGCTTGGCTCTCGTGCTCCCTTGCAGGCCGCCATGGTAAGACGTACCTTTCACCTTCAGCCGTGATTGTGAGGCCTCCCCAGCCACGTGGAACTGTGTGTCCATTAAGGCTCTCTTCCTTTATAAATTACCCAGTCTCTGATATATCTTTATCAGCAGTGTGAAAATGGACTAATACAGCCATGGTTCTTATGATCTTTGTGAAGCACATACACACACTCATAGTCAAGACTCTCAGCGACATCTCTCTGTCTGTTTTCTTCTGCTCCTTGCTCTTCACTGGCTGTACAAACACAGTCACTTGTATCCTCTGACAGACAACATTTGGAATCATTTTTACTGTGGTTGTTTCAACTGCGTTAGCTAAAACTATCACTGTGCTTATAGCCTGTAAGGCTACAGCATCAGAGAGAAAGCCAAAGTGGTTTTGGGGACTGGGAGTATTTAGCACAGTTATTTTCATCTGTTTCCTTATCCAAGTAACTCTCTGGAATTTGGCATGGGATCAAAGAGTGCCATCAGGACTCTCAATGATGAGGTATTCTTTGCCTTCCACTCTGTTCTGGGATTCTTGACCTTTTTGGCACTGGGGAGCTTCATCTTGGCTTTCCTGGCCAGCAGCCTGCCTGACACCTTCAATGAAGCCAAGTTCTTGATGTTCAGCATGCTGATGTTATGTACTGTTTGAATTACCTTCCAAACTGTGTAACATAGCACCAAAGGGAAGGTCATGGTTGCCTTGGAAATATTCTCCACCTTGACTTCCAGTGCTGAGTGCTAGGCGGTATCTTTGCTCCCAGAGGCCGTATTATTCTAATAAAACCAGATAAGAATACTCTTGGAGAGTTAAGGGAAAAAAGCAAGTTCTTACATGTATAAATATTTAATTTCTGGCCTTAGAAAAATAAAAAAGAGGAATGTAAAAAATAACTGCTATTTGCATGCAGATGAGACACAGTCACATTTAAGTAATATTTCAGACTGGTTTATAATCTCTTAACTCTGCCATTACATTCAAATAGTGTGAAATTCACAATACCTTCAATCACCAAGTTTGTGAATATAAATATTAACTTTGATGTGTGTTTTCTGCAGGTTAAATCTATTATTAAATGCTGTAAGTTGTCCTTCATTATATGCACAGTAACCCTTTTTATCTCTATCTTTAGCTACCATTTTGTCTTAGACACACATCTTAAGCAGAAAGTATTGAGGCAGTCCTCCACTCAACATCTCATTTAATTTTATGACTTTTTTCTAATTGGCGGGACAGATGGCATAAAGATTTATAATTTGTATTTGAACTTTATTATATTTTTCTGTTTTCTTCTGACAAATATATGTAAAATTATAAAAATTTACCTGCAATTTGTATATCTAAATTGTGGGAGGTAGGAGTCTAATATTACTTTTATCAAACAAACCAGACATTTGCCCCTAAATAATAATAGACTACACTTGTCTTATTGATTTCAAATGCAACTGTATTGTACTCTACATTTTTGTGTTGTCAAAAATAACTCCATGTCAGTTTAGTTATCAACAAGCAATTTTAATATATGTGGGAGAACAATCAATAGATTGTTATCAGAGATAAAAATTGGATTTATAAAACAAAAGGGCAGAGGCATTTAAAAAAAAAAAGTCTGAAAAATTAGTTTAGTTTTCTTTATCCTGAGTATACTGACTGACAAGAGGGACACTAAGGGATCAGTCTCTGGGATAGTCAACAGAGAAAACTTTCAGTTATTTCTAGATTATCTGAAAAGGCTCGACAGTTCTGCTGGGACAAACTGTGTCCAGGCATTACGTGCCACTCTCCTTCTATTGCCACTCTGCACACAATTAAATCAGACTGCATCATATCCCTTTAAAATATATCTTATATCTCTGTTTTCTTTGGTTAAAATCCAGCTCCCAGATGAACAGATTTTTCCTATAGAGGTTTTATTTTTTTCTTCAACACTGTATTATGAGTTGAATGTCAGGTCAGGGTTATGGCTGTGAAGCAAGATATAAGAATCAAGATAGGCTGGGCACGGTGGCTCACGCCTGTAATCCCAGCACTTTGGGAGGCAGAGGCAGGCGGATCACGAGGTCGGGAGATCCAGACCATCCTGGCTAACACTGTGAAACCCCGTCTCTACTAAAAATACAAAAAAATTAGCTGGGCGCGGTGGCAGGCGCCTATAGTCCCAGCTACTAGGGAGGCTGAGGCAGGAGAATGGCGTGAACCCGGGAGGCGGAGCTTGCAGTGAGCCAAGATGGCGTCACTGCACTCCAGCCTGGGCGACAGAGCAAGACTCCATCTCAAAAAAAAAAAAAAAAAGGAATCAAGATAATGGGAAGGTTAAAAAAGATAAAAAGTTTGGGAATAATCCCAAGTATTTTAAGAAATATTTGAAGCTCGCTTAGCATCTGTTTTTCTTGGGTTTAGCTTAGCCAGAAAAATAACTCCTAAGATCGAATAAATCAATTTTACTTACCTAATGTTTATTCAGGTTCCAGATATTTCAGGTATGGTAAAGATTTTCTCTTGGAAGGACATTAAATTGCCAATTATCTATTACTTAGGACTATCCTAGTCAACACGTTGCTGCTATTCTGTTGAGTTTCTAAAACCTGAGGTGCTTTGTTTACTGCGGAGTCCATAGTCAAGGATAAATTATGGATCATGCATGTTAGTTGGGAAACAACTTGGATAAGGTAGAAACACCTACACACACACAAACATACTCACACATACACCCACCTACACACATACACACACACAGTCACACACACACACTAACACTGTGCCCGAAATTGGTGGGTTCTTGGTCTCACTGACTTCAAGAATGAAGCCGCGGACCCTCGCGGTGAGTGTTACAGCTTTTAAGGTGGCGCATCTGGAAGTCTGTCCCTTCTGACGTTCACATGTGTTCGGAGTTTCTTCCTTCTGGTGGGTTCGTGGTCTCGCTGGCTCAGGAGTGAAGCTGCAGACCTTCGTGGTGAGTGTTACAGCTCTTAAGGTGGCACGTCTGGAGTTGTTCGTTCCTCCCGGTGGGCTGGTGGTCTCACTGGGCTCAGGAGTGAAGCTGCAAATCTTCACGGTGAGTGTTACAGCTTATAAAAGCAGCGTGCACCCAAAGAATGAGCAGTAGCAAGATTTATTGCAAAGGGCAAAAGAACACAGGTTCCACAGTCTGGAAGGGGACCCGAGCGGGTTGCCAATGCTGGCTCGGGCAGCCTGCTTTTATTCTCTTATCTGGCCCCACCCACATGCTGCTGATTGGTAGAGCCGAGTGGCCTGTTTTAACAGGGCGCTGATTGGTGCGTTTACAATCCCTGAGCTAGATACAAAGGTTCTCCACCTCCCCATCAGATTAGTTAGATACAGAGTTTCCACACACAGGTTCTCCAAGGCCCCACCAGAGCAGCTAGATACACAGTGTCGATTGGTGCATTCACAAACCTTGAGCTAAACACAGGGTGCTGATTGGTGTATTTACAATCCCTGAGCTAGACATAAAGACTCTCCACCTCCCCACCAGACTCAGGAGCCCAGCTGGCTTCACCTAGTGGATCCCGCACAGGGGCTGCAGGTGGAGCTGCCTGCCAGTCCCGCGCCGTGCGCTCGCACTCCTCAGCCCTAGGGTGGTCGATGGGACCGGGCGCCGTGGAGCAGGGGGTGGTGCTCGTCGGGGAGGCTCGGGCTGCACAGGAGCCCATGGAGTGGGTGGGAGGCTCAGGCATGGCGGGTTGCAGGTCCCCAGCCCTGCCCCGTGGGAAGGCAGCTAAGGCCTGGCGAGAAATCGAGCGCAGCACTGGTGGGCCGGCACTGCTGGGGGACCCAGTACACCCTCTGCAGCCGCTGGCCCGGGTGCTAAGTCCCTCATTGCCCGGGGCCAGCAGGGCTGCCCGGCTGCTCCCAGTGCGGGGCCCGCCAAGCCCATGCCCACCCGGAACTCCAGCTGGCCCGCAAGCGCCACATGCAGCCCGGGTTCCCGCTTGCGCCTTTCCCTCCACACCTCCCTGCAAGCTGAAGGAGTGGGCTCCGGCCTTGGCCAGCCCAGAAAGGGGCTCCCACAGTGTAGTGGGGGCTGAAGGGCTCCTCAAATGCCGCCAAAGTGGGAGCCCAGGCAGGGGAGGTGCCGAGAGCAAGCGAGGGCTCTGAGGACTGCCAGCACGCTGTCACCTCTCAACACCTACACACAAACACTCACACCTACACACACAAGCACACATATACCCACACACAAAATGAAGCGTATATGTATACATGTACATATATATGATAAATTCTGATGTCTTGAGTCCCTCTTTATAAACTACCACATTGATTCAATAAAATATGAGCAACTGAATGGTTTGTTTCAGTAAATGGAAAGGCCAGAATACGATGTCCAAAACAATGTTTATGTTTGAATATGATTATAGAAAATCATGATTTCTTCATAAGAATAATAATTCCAAGAGTATATCTTGTGGAGACACAAGTATGTTTTTCATAGTCACAATTATTTATCAAATGTCACCTGAATTTAATTAATTTTTGTATTCAGAATAAAATCCCAGAGTTTAGAAAAAGCATGCAATGATTTCTGTGTAGCTTTATGAGAAAATAATTGGTCATAATTTATCATTAATTCCATATGCCATTATCTTTCTCATGAGGCTCTAGAAAATATCAGCAACTGCAGCTAATTTTGAGGACCTGCATTTTAGCCATAACGTCTAGATGCTTTAGCATTAGTAATATTCTGGAAAGTTGCAATGAGTTCACAGGGTTTATCAGAATGAAATTAGTCAAGAAAATGAGAAAAATGACTGGGATTTCAATTTTCATAGCCTAATACCTTGAACTAAGAAAAAATGAAAAAAGTGAGACAAAGAGGGGTATCCAAGTGATAAAATAGAATCAAAATAAGGGCATGTTTTTCTGATCATGAAGTTTTACCTGAAATATCTTGAGTGAAAGCTTCATATGACTGAATATACTTTTAATGTCATCTTCCTGATATGTAGACTCTTGAAGGAATATGTCTACTGGAAGTTGTCTGCTTCTGGAGGCTTTTTAATAGGCCTCTAGGTCAGATTTAACATGGGTCTGGATGTCCAGATTATAGGACCCTAAACACTTTTATCCTTAGAACCATGTCTTCTCTAGTGTTTTTCATAGAGCTTAAACAGATTCTTTGCGATTAAAAAAATAATCAAAATGGCTTTTTATAGCATAGTTCTAATGCTAAGTGTGTTTCTTCCAATAAACTCATTATCTTGGAGGGATACATCCAATCATATCCCTCTTGGAAATACATTTTGTATTAATTGTGCACATGACTGCACATATATTAATTTTGTAAATACTGACAGGATACAAATTCAATGATATGGAATCTGTCAGAGCAGGATTCAAGCCAAGAGTCACGTACCTTCTTGTAACATTTACAAAATGAGAGTTTATGAGAAATTTGGGACAAGATCACATTAACATTTTATCTAGGAGTAGAACTTTAGCTCAAACGAAAGCTTTAATTAAAATGAAAAGTTTCTTCTTTGGTAAATGACTTTTAAAACTTTACACTTTGGTAACTGATCCTTGGTTATGCTAAGTACAAATAAATTATTTCCAAGAAATTTTCTTTGAGATTTTCTTGAAATATGAATAAGTATTTTGGATTAATAAAATCAGTTTCAGCAACTGGTTTTACCAGTTGATGGAAAAACCAATAAGGGCTTCTACTTTTATACAGTAGTCATCTAGAAAGTTCTCTGTGGTTTTTAATATATCAACTAAATTATAGCCTATAATTTTAATAACCAAGATTCATTTTGAATATTGTGTTGCCCTCAAAGTCATTAATCATTTTCAGTGTTTGATTGAAGTACCCAACGAAATTAGAGAACTCCTTTGTTATCATAGCTTGTTAGATTCATAAAAAGTCTCAGAGGAATATCTACTCTACTTGTGGTAGCTAAGCCTTAAAGCTATAGCAAGGTTGTATGCTTACACTAGACCTATCAGTTTAACCATTTGAGAAGAACTAAGCATTGGTAAAAAGGCAGATTCTATAACAGATATCCAAAAATTATAGCCTATACTGTAAAATATATACCTGGATCACATTAATATTACATCAAGGTTCTGTAGAGGAACATTAGTCCCAAAAGTGCATGATTAAAGTTTCAGTAGTTGGTAGACACAAATAACAGTCACCTATATTAACAAGGAAATGTAGTGTCTGAGATTTTACCCCATTTATAAGCTAATAAGTTAGTCTGTTACTGTTTCATGAATAGGGGGAAGACACAACAGTCCTGGATCAGAGACAAACATTTCATTACTCACGGCATTGCTAATGTGAGTGTCATGTTGTATCAGTCAACTTTGTCCCCCAAATCTCACAAGGATAAAGCAGAGGAACCCAAGTCAATGGTGAACATGCTATAATAAATTTGTATTGCAGCAAAGAAACACTGAGCTTGGGGGATGTACTGCTTTTACATTAAGCAGTAGACAAGTCTGCTTAACGTTCCAAAGGGAAACATTTTTTCACCTCTCAAGGTTGCTGCTAGAAATACAACCTAGAGAAATGGTATGGAAAAAGAGCATTCAGAGCCTTGCATTTAAATTTTTTTCCCTTTTGACACAGGTATTTATTCTTATTTGTCTACATCTACATATCTCAAATTTTCTACTGTGATAAATAAACATAACATGAAATGTTACCATTTTAATGACTTTAAGTGTACAATTCAGTGGCAAGCACACTCACATTGTTGTGCCATCATCACCACTATCCATCTCCAGAATTTTTTTCATCTTGCAGAACTGAAACTCTGTACCCATTAACACTAATTATCAATTCCTTACTCCCCCCAGCCCCAGGCAATGACCATTTTACTTTCTGTTTCTATGAATTTGATTACTCTGGGTACCTCATATCAGTAGAATCATAAAATATATCTCCATTTGTGTCTACCTTATTTTACTTAGTGTAAGGTCTTTCAAATTTATCTATATTGTAGCATGTGGCAGAATTTCCTTTCTTTTTAAGGATGAATTATATTTTACTCTATGTCTATGCCACATTTTATCTCTTTATCTGCCAATGGATATTTGGGTTGTTTCTACTTTTGGCTACTGTGAATAATGCTAATATGGATGTTGATGTACAAATATCTGTTTGAGTCCTTGCTTGAAATTAATTTTGGAGGAATTGCTGGGTCATATGGTAATTCTGTGTTTAATTCCTTGGGAAATCACCATACTCTGGTCCACAGCAACTCTATCATTTTGCATTCCCACCAGTAACCATAAAGGCCCTAGTTTCTCTACCTCTTCATCAGCATTCGTTATTTTCTGTTCATTTGATATTAATTATCCTAATGGGTGTGAAGTAAGGAGACTTGCATTCTTGACATACCCAGCAAGAACCTTCAGAACTACGCAAGGCTCATGGTAGACTGCTTCCCTCAATCAGTAGCTAGATTTAGTTAGTAGCAGAGTTTAAAGGTTTTCTGGGGAAGTAGCCAACAAAAGATTATATAAGCAATGATGTTGTTTTCCTAGAAGTGCCACGTGTTGTTCTATACTAATGACACTCTTGTCAAAGACCCTATGCAGAGTGAGCTGAGGGAAGTCTGCTAAGACTTTATCAGCTGGGCTACCACTATAACTAAACAAAGTGAATAAACCGTAGTCACAAGGTCAAGAGAAATGTTAATGTAGGTAATGAGCTTGTGATCAATTTTTAAACCATAAAGCAAAATGTTATCTCTATGCACAAATAATGGAGAAGGTTTACTTTCATTAGAAATGCCAGCCAATGTGGACCCTACTGTCACTACCCTGGTGAAGTGTTTTGGCTGGCACTCCCCATCAGAGTCTTGTTGCCAGTGGACTGGGAACACCTTGGCTCCTCCAAGCACCTCCTGCAACAGGTGCTTAACCTGGAGGGGCCAGAGAACAAAGCTGGAGGCCTAGTACCACCTTCCAGGGTAAGAGTACACAGCCCAGGTATGGCCCCCTGAAAATTTCCAGAGATGAAACCAGTTCACTTAACTCACTTTATACCATAGTCAACCCCCAAGGGAATCAAAGAATATACAAGTGAAAATCCCCATCCAAAGGACGGCAACTTCAAACATTAAAGGAACATCAGCCCACACAGAAGAGAAAGAACCAGTACAGGAACTCTGACAGCTCAAAAAGCAGAATGTCTTCTTACCTCCAAATGACCCAGCAGTGGTTCTTAATCAGGCTGAAATGACAGTCATGGAATTCAGCATTGGGACAGGAACAAAGATTACCAAGTTTCAGGAGTAAGTTGAAACACAATCAAAGGAATCTAAGGAATTTATTTAAATGATGCAAGAAGTGAACGACAAAATCACCGTTCTGAGAATGAAACCCATCTGACAGAGCTGAAAAACTCACTACAAGAATTTCATAATACAATCAGAATTGTTAACAGCAGAATAGACCAAGCTGAGGAAAGAATCTCAGAACTTGAAGACCAGATCTTTGAATCAACTCAATCAGACAAAAATGAATAAAAAAGCATAAACACAACTTCAGAGAAATATGGGATTATGTAAAGAGACCAATTCTATGGCTCATTGGCCTGAAAGAGAGGAAGAGAGAGCAAGCAAGTTGGAAAACATATTTGATGATAACTGTCCATGAAAATTTCCCCAACTTTGCTAAAGAGCTCGACATTCAAATTCAGGAAATGCAAAGAATCCCTTGAGATACTACACAAGATGTCCATTCCCAAGACACATATTTATTAGATTCTCCAAGGTCAACCTGAAAGAAAAAATAATAAAGACAACTAGAGAGAAGGGGTAGGTCACTTAAAAAGGAACCCCATCAGGCTAACAGCAGACCTTTCAGCAGGAACTATACAAGCCAGAAGAGATAGGGGGCCTATGTTCAGCATTCTTAAAGAAAAGAAATTCTAATCAAGAATTTCATATCCAGCCAAAGTAAGCTTTATAATCAAAGGAGGAATAAGATCCTTTTCAGACAAACAAATGCTAAGGGAATTCACCACCATCAGACTCACCTTACAAGAGATCCTTAAGGGTGTGCTAAACATGGGAACAGAAGACTGTTACCAGCAACCACAAACACACACTGAAGTACATAGACCACCGACATAAAGCAACTATGTAATCCAGTCTGCATAACAACCAACTACCAACATGACAGGATCAAATCTGCACATATCAATATTAACCTTAAATGTAAAAGGGCTAAAGGCCATACTTAAAAGGCACAGAGTGGCAATTGAATAAAGCAAGACCCAATGACATGCAGTTTTCAAGAGACCCATCTCACATGCAATGACACCCATAGGCTCAAAGTAAAAGAATAAAGAAAAATCTATCAAGCAAATATAAAACAAAAACAAACAAGGTTGCTATTCTAATTTCAGATAAAACAGAGTTTATACCAATAACAACCAAAAAGAAGACAAAGAAAGGCATCACATAATGATAAAGAGTTCAATTCAACAAGAAGACTTAACAATCCTAAATATAAATGCACCCAATACTGAGCACTCAGATTGATAAAACAAATTCTTAGAGACCTACGAAAAAACTTAGATAACCACACAATAATAGTGGGAGACTTCAACACCCCATTGACAGTATTAAACAGATCATCAAGGCAGAAAACAAAGATATTCATGACCTGAACTCAACACTTGACCAAATGGACCTAACAGACATTTCCAGAATGCTCCACTCAACAGCAGACTATATATATTTTTTCATCTGCACATGGCCCTTACTAAAAAACTGCCCGCATGATTAACCATAAAACAATTCTCAACAAATTAAAAAAAAACCAAAATCATACCAACCACACTCTTGGACCACAGTGCAATAAAAGTAAAAATCAATATGAAGACAATATCTTAAAACCATAAAATTACATGAAAATTAAACAATCTGCTCCTGAATGACTTTTGGGTAAACAATGAAACGAAGACAGAAGTCAAGAAACTCCTTGAAACTAACGAAAACAAAGATACAATATTCCAGAATCTCTGTGAGTCAGCTAAAGTAATTTTTTTTTTTTTGAGACGGAGTCTCGCTGGAGTGCAGTGGCACCATCTCTGCTCACTGCAAGCTCCACCTCCTGGGTTCATGCCATTCTCCTGCCTCAGCCTCCCGAATCGCTGGGACCACAGGCACCCGCCACCACACCCGGCTAATTTTTTTGTATTTTTGTATTCACCATGTTAGCCAGGATGGTCTCAATCTCCTGACCTTGTGATCCGCCTGCCTCGGCCTCCCAAAGTGCTGGGATTACAGGTTTGAGCCACCGCGCCCGGCCCCAGCTAAAGTAATGTTAAGAGGAAAGTTTATAGTGCTGAATGCTCACATTAAAAAGTTAGTAAGATCTCAGATTAAAACCTAACATCACACCTAGTGGAACTAGAAAAATAAGAGCAAACCAATACCAAAGCTAGTAGAAGAAAAGAAATGAGTAAAATCAGGTCTGAAATGAATGAAATCCAGATGTGAATAAAATCATACAAAGATCAGTGCAACCAACAGCTGGTTACTTGAAATAATAAATAAGATTGATAGTCCCATAGCTAGAATAATAAAGAAAAAAGGGAAAAGATTCAAATAAACACAGTCAGAAATGACAAAGAGGGCATTACCACTGACTCCACAGAAATACAAACAACTCTCAGAGACAATTGCAAACACCTGTATGCACATAAACTAGAAAACCTAAAAGAAATGGATAAATTCCTGAAATCATGCAGCCTCCCAAGATTGAGCCAGGATGAAATTGAACCCTGAAAGACCAATAACAAGGTCCAAAATTGAATCAGTAATAAAAAGTCTGCCAACCAGAAAAATCCCTGGATCGGACAAATTCACAGCCAAATTCAGGCAGATGTACAAAGAAGACTGGTACCATTCCTGCTGAAATTATTCCCAAAAATTGAGAAGGAAGAACTTCTCTCTAACTCATTTATTAGGCCAGCATCATTCTGACACTGAAACCTGGCAGAGACACAACAAAAAAAGAAAACTTCAGGCCAATATCCATGTTGAACTACAGATGCAAAAATCCTCAACAAAATTCTAGCAAATCAAGTCCAGCAGCACATCAAAAAGCTAATCTACCACAATCAAGCAGCCTTTATTTCTTGGGTACAACGCTGGTTCAACATATGCAAATCAATAAATGTGATTCATCACATAAACAGAACTGAAAACAGAAACCGTATGATCATCTCAACAGACACAGAAAAGGCTTTTGATAAAATTCAACATTCCGTCATGTTAAAAACCCTCAACAAACTAGATATTGAAGGAACATACCTCAAAATTTAAGAGCTATCTATGACAAACCTACAGCCAACATCATACTGAACAAGCAAAAGGTGGAGGCATTTCCCTTGAGAACTGAAAGAAAACAAGGTGGCCCACTCACATCACACCTATTCTGCACAGTCCTGGAAGTCGTAGCCAAAGCAATTAAGCAAGAGAAAGAAATAAAAGGCATTCAAACAAGAAGACAGGAAGTCAAACTATCTCTCTTTGCAGATGATATGATTTTACACCTAGAAAACCCCATAGTCTCTGCCCAATAGCTCATTGATCTGATATACAACTTCAGCAAAATTTCAGGATACAAAATCATTCCACAAAAATCTGTAGCATTTCTACATACCAACAACATCCAAGGTGAGAGGCAAATCAAGATTGCAATCACATTTACAATACTCACACCAAAAATTACCTAGGAATACAGCTAACCAGGGAGGTGAAAGATCTCTATAACAAGAATTAAAAACGCTGCTGAAAAAAATCAGAGAGGACACAAATATGAAAACATTCCATGCTAATGGATAGGAAGAATCACCTTTGTTAGAATGGCCATACTGCCCAAGGCAATTTACAGATTAATTACTATTTCTATCAAGCTTCCAAAGGCATTCTTCAGGGAACTAGGAAAAACTATTCTAAAATTCATATGGAACCAAAAAAGAGCCCAAGGCAATCCTAAGCAGAAAGAAAAAAGCTGGGGGCATCACATTTCCCAACTTCAAATGATACTATCAAGCTAAAGTAACCAAAACAACTTGGCACTGGTACAGAAACAGACACATATAGCAGACCAATGTAGCAGAACAGAAAACCCAGAAATAAAGCCACACATGTAAAACTATCTGATCTTCAACAAAGTTGACAAAAGCAAGCAATGTGGAAAAGACTCCCTATTCAATAAATTGTGCTGGGATAATTGGCTACCCATATGCAGAAGATTGAAACTGGACTCCTTCCTTATCCTATATAAAAAAATCAACTCAAGATGAATTAAAGACTTACATGTAAAACCTAAAACTATGAAAACCCCAGAAGAAAACCTAGGAACTACCATTCTGGACATAGGCCTGACAAAGATTTCATGATTAAGATGCCAAAAA
Organism: Homo sapiens; assembly: GCF_000001405.40. NCBI lineage: Eukaryota > Metazoa > Chordata > Mammalia > Primates > Hominidae > Homo > Homo sapiens. The sequence continues at coordinate 285,875 of NW_025791789.1, read as the reverse complement.
CCATTGTAACAAAAACAAAAATTGACAAATGGGACCTAATTAAACTAAAGAGTTTCTGAACAGCAAAAGAAACTAACATCAGAATAAACAGGCAACCTGCAGAATGAGAGAAAATATTTGCAAACTGTGAACCTAACAAAGGTCTAATACCCAGAATCTATAAGGATCTTAAACAAATGTACAAGCCAAAACCAAACAACTCCATTAAATAGTGGGCAAAAGACATGAACAGACACTTTTCTGAAGAAGACATACACATGGCCAACAAGCATATGAAGAAAACGCTCTACATCAGTAATCATTAGAGAAATACAAAACCACGATGAGATGCCATCTCACGTCAGTCAGAATGGCTATTACTAAAAAGTCAGAAAATAACAGATGCTGGCAAGGTCGTGCAGGAAAGGAACACTTACATATTGCTGGTGGGAATGTAAATTAGTTCAGCCACTGTAGAAAACAGTTTGACAATTTATAAAAGAACTTAAAACAGAGCTACCATTCTATCCAGCAATCCCATTACTGGGTATGTACCCCAAGAACTGTAAGTCATTCCATCATAAAGATACATGCTCATCTATGTTCACTGCAGCACTATTCACAATAGCAAAGACATGGAATCAACCTAAATGACCATCAGCAGTTGAAAACATGGTACATATACACCATGGAATACTACGCAGCCATAAAAAAGAATGAAATCATGTTCTTTGCAGCAACATGAATGCAGCTAGAGGCCATTATCCTACGTGAATTAACACAGCAACAGAAAACCAAATACCAAATGTTATCACTTATAAGTGGAAGCTAAACATTGAATATGCATGGACACACAGCAGGGGACAAGACATAGGACCTATTTGAGGGCGGAAGGTGAAAGTAGAGTGAGGATTAAGAAACTACTTATCAGGTACTATGTTTATTGCTCCAGTGATGAAATAATATGCACATCAAACCCCCATGACACACAATTTCCCCATGTATCAAACCTGCATATATACCCCCTGAACCTAAAATAAAAGTTGGGAGAATTAGAAAAAAAAAAGGAGTGCCTAACTTGGGGGTTGTTGTAATGTTCGCTTAACAAACACACAGTCTTTTGGGCATCTAAATCACAGCACAGAGGCTCTGGGGCATGGGATCTAGTGACCTCATACAGTGGTTGAGATAATCAGAATATAGACAGTATCAAACATATCTAATTACTTTACAAATTTCTTCTTGAATAATGTGAGTAGAGCATTATCCAGTAGCTATCTGAGAAACCCCAAAGACCTTTAGATACGAACAACATTTAACAGCTTTATTCCCATGAATTCATAACTTAAATTTATAAAACAAAAACAACAAAAAGAAAGAAGAATGGGAGACAGGAAGAAAAAGAAGAGAAGAGAAAAGAAAAGAAGAAAAGAAAACAAAAGAAAAGAAAAAAGGAAGACCCAGAATTTTAGAGAAAACTAGAAATTACAGCAAAAGTTAGACATTAGTTTCGGATACCTATTATAGGCGATGATACTTTAAACAAACAAAGCAAGAGGAAGTCTTAGAAGTGAGAAACCTTTGCCATAAATGATTGAAGATCCTGACCAAAACACACAACTTATATTTGAAGACCAAAATTTCGAAATGATTTTTATAAGCTGTTAATCTTGATATAATTATATATATACATATACGTGTGTGTGTGTTAAACATACTCAAATAGGTGATAAATTTAAACTTTTTAACTCTAATTTTGAAATAATTACCTTTACTAACAAATAATGGGTAAATATATTATCTTTAATTTACCAACTTAATAACCTGCACACTTTTTAAATCAGACAACATATATTCATTATCAAGTGTACATATTCTCTTTTCCCTGTACATATTCCTCTTGAGGGATGATATATCCGAAATAGTGCCTCACTGTGGAAATAGTTTCTGCCTTCTGAAACACAACTTGAGGATATAACAGAATTTCCAGCAGGGAGGTATAGTTTGAAAAGATTCCAGAAACGATTCTGATACCACACTCACTGTTGCGAATCAATGACAATATGTCACTTCCATTTGAGAAATTAAATAGTAAATGATGTTTATTACTCCCTAGATTTTAATGTAAAGTTTAATAGTTCAGTTTAGTTTTATACATATTTTGTCCTAAGCAGTTTACAGATCAATATTTTTAAAAGTTTCTACTTTTTATTAATTTCATTAAAGTCCTTTAGATAAAGTTAGACTTCCTGGAATCCTTATGTTTGGCAATGAATTTCCAGATTGATTCAGGTTTATAAGGACAAATACATGTGACACTACAGAAGTGTGAGGGAGTAGGACTTACATGCTTTTTCTAGGGCCTCAGTTGATCAGAAGTGGACAGCAGCTGTTCTATCAAAAACTCAAATGGGGTTGTGGGGATTTGCCACCTCAACCTCTTTCCCAGAGCATATTAGGAGGACACAGATAAAAGGATTCAATAAACGCATTGGCAAATTATAATGTGAAAAGTCACCACTGTGGGGTATTATTTGCTATGTAGCTAATCCCTCTGGGGACTCTCTGAGACAGCCCATGGAACGTGTCTCAGAATCTTCCTGTCCACTGATTGCTATCCCGCATTTGTTGGATGTCGCCTCCAGGGACATTGTCCCCTCTTCCTGCCACACACATGTAATTCTGGGTTGTTTTTGCATGTGTCCAATCTTCGATGCAAAACTCTTCCCTGGGAACAGTGACAAGGCAGACTCTTGAGATGGAAATCTGTCAACCTTACTAGAACTTTCTGTTGAACTCAGGAACACTGGGGAACACTGAGGCATCAATACCATATGCTTTGACATGGTTTTAATACTCTTTCCATTTTAGGTTTTTTTTTTTGTCTTAAATCTGAATGCAGTCATGTTTTTCAAGTTTTATCCTATAGAAAGAACTGCCTTCCTATGAAACCACAGCGATTAAAGACATAAAGCTGCAGATTTCATTGCGATAGAAAACCCTACTTTCCTGCCTGTTGGCGGAACACTTATTAGGAGTTTGCAGAAGCAAAGTGCAATTATTCTCCATGATGCCAGGACCTACATTATTCATTAACGTAGAACAAAACTCAGATATATTATTAAGTGTCCCAGATTATTCATTTGTGAGCAGACTACCAATTGTCTTTCCAAATGAATTTTCTTTGTTCTCAGTACTTTTGATCATATTCAAAATCTCAAAGCTTTCAAAATTTTCAAAATGGGCTCTCAAAATAGAAAATGTGATCTAGTGAAGCTGACTGTATTTACAGTTTGTTATGAGCCGAATGCTGTGTCCCTCTAAAACTCCTAAGTTGAAACCCTAGCCACTAATATGATGGTATTTGGCGATGGGGCCTCTGACAGGTCATGAGGTTTAGGTTAGATCCTGGAAGGAGGCCCTCATGAGGAGATTAGTGTCCTCATAGGACGAGGAGCCAGAGATCTTCTTATCGCTCGCCATCCCCCACACACTCAGGGAAGGCCACGTGACGCCCAATGGGAAGGAGGCTGACCACAAGCGAGGGGCCAGGCCTGATCATGAACTAGCACCTTGATTGTAGGCTTCTCTGCCTCCAGAACTGTGAGATATAAATGTCTGTGGTTAAAGCCATCCAATCTATGCTATTTTTTCTTTTTCTTTTTCTTTTTTTTTTTTTTGAGACATAGTTTTGCTCTGTCATCCAGGCTGGAGTGCAGTGGTGCGACCTCAGCTCACTGTAAGCTCCGCCTCCCAGGTTCACGCCATTCTCCTGCCTCAGCCTCCTGAGTAGCTGGGACTACAGGTGCCCGCCACCACGCCCGGCTAATTTTTTTTGTATTTTTTTTAGTAGAGACTGGGTTTCACCGTGTTAGCCAGGATGGTCTTGATCTCCTGACCTCGTGATCTGCCCGCCAGGGCCTCCAAAAGTGCTGGGATTACAGGTGTGAGCCACGGCGTCCGGCCCAATCTATGCTATTTTATTACAGCAGCCTGAGCTGACTGGCTGTTATTATTGGTAGTTACTGATAGTTATCTACTTGCATGTCCAAAGGAAACAACGCAGCTACCAATTTTTTGGTGATATTCTTCAAATGCTAGCAGGAGACTTGATTGATTCTGGAATGTGTAATGAGCTTGACAGAGGTACCACTAAGAATCCTTTTATCTGTTTACAATTCACAATCCTGCGATGCCACTTGCAGAGAAAAATGCTGATCAAGGTTTCGTGGATGAGATGTTGCTTCTCAGGGTAGCCATATCATCACACTATTAGAGACTACAGACCCCTAGAACTTGGCCTTTTGAGGTATAGGACCAGGAGAAGGGGTTGAAGTAGATGCAGGTTTTCTAAGAGCATAGGATCAATTGATCAATTTTCATTTGAAAAGGGCTGAGAGGTCAGCTTGTAGAAAATAAAGACCAAGAGGGAGAAGCAGCAAAGAGCTACATATTAGTAGGAGGTCAGCTTAAGAGCTAAGAGGGAGCAACCTCAGGGCCTTATGGCAATTAAAGATATTGAATATCAAGGAATTAGAAGGATTTAAAGAATTATGACTGAGAGTCTTCTATTGTATTCACTTTGACACAGTTCATAAGTCTTATGGACTTTTTACTTGCCTTTGTTGGCTGGGTTTCATTTTTTAAAATTGCAGTTCTACAGAGATACTTAGCCATGAGGCAAGACAATTATATTTGTGCTACTCAATTAAATTGTGTTACATCTTAATGTCAGAGTCTATGCTCTATAAATTCTACCAGTAATTTTAGATTTTATGGTCTGCTTCCTAGCATCAGGATGAACCCCTATGGCAACCCTATTCTTATCCATTGGAGCAAAATGATAACTTAATTGTATAATATATCAAAAAAGTGTTTTGTAGTATTTCACTAGTTCTTTGCCTTTGTCTCGTAATTGGCTAATTGAAATTGGGATTAAATAACTTTAATTTTCACATGGCTACAGTTGTAAACAGAGTCATTTTTTCCCATAATACATCAACATTTGGCAAATAATTTCATCTCCTGGGTCTTATGGCAGAATTTTCAGAACATCCTTAAAAACTGTGAATGAAATGACTTGGCAATTGAATGCTGAATGAAAAAGAAATACTTAAAACAATTTAGTCTACTTTTAATCATTTTCATTAAAAAAACTTTGTTAATCATAAAGTAAGTTTCCCAGTTTATGCTATTAATTCTCCATTGTTTTCAGATAAAGCACTTGTAAACTGTTGAACATTTTTATGAAGTGTTATATCACAAATTGGGGCTATTGCATAAATGTTATGTTATTCTAGCCCACCTAAAATATAACTTCTTTCTGCACTCTACTCTTCTTCAAGTTGTCTTATGATATCCAAAATTTGCACCATCATTTTTTCACTCAGGAAAATACTTTTGGACAATTAAATTATATGTATTTAACACAGTGTTAAATGATTTATGGTATTTCTTAATATCTGAATATTTTTGCTGAACCACTGAGCTTATTTGGCATAAATTATGTCAAGCATTAAGAAAATAATAAGTTATCCTATAGAGAAATTTTATGTGTTTAGAACTATTATTATTATTATTTTTTGAGACGGAATCTCGCTCTGTCGCCCAGGCTGGAGTGCAGTGGCGCGATCTCGGCTCACTGCAAGCTCCGCCTCCTGGGTTCACGCCATTCTCCTGCCTCAGCCTCCCAAGTAGCTGAGACTACAGGTGCCCACCACCACACCTGGCTAATTTTTTGTATTTTTAGTAGAGACAGGGTTTCAAAGTGTTAGCCAGGATGGTCTTGATCTCCTGACCTCATGATCCACCCGCCTCGGCCTCCTAAAGTGCTGGGATTACAGGCGTGAGCCACCGTACCTGGTTGTATTTTGAATTATTTTTGTGGAATAATACTCTGTAGATTCCCTTGGCTGTCATTATCCCAATAACCAAAAATAATATCTCTATCACAGGCAATAGTGCATATTGGCTAAGAGATTGGGCGCTGGAGTCAGACAAGAGCCAGACTGCCTGAGTTCAAATTCCAGCTCAGTCATTTATTAAGTGAATGTGTAACCACACAAAACCAGTCTGGTTCTTCAACTTTTATGTAAAAAAGTTATGAATAGTTTTTCAGTTGCCATGGACTCCCAGGCTGAAGGTCCCATAACCTGAACATGCCCAAATGAACCAAACTTGCAATGATGGGCGGAACTTAAGTGCTCAGCCCAAGAAGTGGGACTGAATTAAAAAGGGGACACTGCATGGCAAGATCCAGGATCCAATCAAATGGAGCCCTTGTGGTACCCCATGGCAGGATTCAGTCAGATCATGCCTCCCAGCATCATCTCATCACAAGACCCAATCAGATAACACTTCATTACCCTATTCCTATAAAACCCAACTCAGCCCCCAGCTCAGGGAGACAGATTTGAGCATTTTCTCCTGTCTCCTTGCCAGTCAACCAGCAATACAGCTTCTCTTTTCTCAAGCCTGTGCCATGGTATTGGCCTCTATGCACATTGGGTAGCAAGCCCATTGATTGTTTGATTACAAATGACCCTAGGGAAGTTATTTAAACTAATTCTGCTTCAGTCTCTTCATTTATAAAATGGGAATATTAGGAACTCACTTCACAAAGTTGCTGTGAGGATTCAGTGACTTAATCTATGCAAATCATTTAAGACAATTCCCGAGATTTTATGATTACCATATAAAGATATCCAAAGACTATTATTTCCAATTATATTTGTTCCAAAGGGTAGATTTCTTCCTCTAAATTTCCACATTTCTATTAGATATTTGCCAAAAACGGGGACATATTAATGTTTTATTAATGCATGCATTTATCTATTTACTGAATGCTATTTAAATGTGGTACACCACTGTCTAGATGTTAGCAATTTAGAGAAAGTAAAATCCAGTCCCTTTCCACTGGATTATGATAAGGGGACTATCATAGTGGGTATAATTTGAAGACAAGGAGGACCCTAGTAGAAGATGGCAAATCAGAAAACTTTACTTTGGTGGTAGCAGAATTTAAAACATCCTTCATTCTTAGTTGAGATGATAAATTATTAGTCTCAGCTCTTCTTTAAAATAACTATATATAATTAATAATAAGCTGAAATTAGCAGTTATATTTCAAATATTCCATGTACCTTCATTTATACTAATTTCACCTCAAAACTGGGGTTTGGTGTTATTATTTTACATTGCAAATGGCATTAAGAATCCAATGCTGTGTTAAGTATAGCATCTGCCGGATAAAAATATTAGGACAAGGCCGGGCACGTTGGCTCACGCCTGTAATCCCAGCACTTTGGGAGGCCAAGGCTGGTGGATCACGAGGTCAGGAGATCGAGACCATCCTGGCTAACATGGTGAAATCCCATCTCTACTATAAATACAAAAAATTAGCTGGGCGTGGCAGCGGGCACCTGTAGTCCCAGCTACTCGGGAGGCTGAGGCAGGAGAATGGCATGAACCCGGGAGGCAGAGCTTGCAGTGAGCCAAGATCAGGCAGGCCACTGCACTCCAGCCTGGGTGACAGAACAAGACTCCGTCTCAAAAAAAAAAAAAAAAAAAAAAAAATTAGGACAAAAGAAGTTCATTAGTCTTAAGAACTAATTCAGGATATTTATTATATATTCTACAGACTATGGACCTATTTATTAATGTATTTTTATAATATAATGTAAAGTGTCCTACATAAAGCGCTCATTTTGACAAAGATATTTCTTTTCTCCACGTGTTCAATTTGCCAGACAAGCAATATACTGTGTAAGATGTAAGAAAAAGTCCCACATTTTCAAAATTATGGTAATTAAAAAAGTTATTGGATGAAAGAGTCTATCCTTTACCAAATAAAGGCAAAGACATGAAGTGGTTCTGCTAATTTCCCCATTGTCTAAATTTATAGTCTTTAATTCCTTATTTTAATAATATTATTTTATTTCTAAGTCATTTTGATTTAATAACATTCAGGTTTTAATGATTTCAATTATTTTAGAACTGACTACTCAAATATTTAAAATTAATTATTATGAATGATTAATACTAAGACTTTCAATAATCTGAATAATCACACATAGAGGGTCATTAATTATAACACAAAGAAATGTACTTCTGAGCAAAATCTAAAATATTGCCTAAGACTTTAAGTTTATTTTTATTATCTTATATAATTGATGACAACTAGAATGATTTTTCTTTTTGGATTACTGGCAGGACATAGCTGTGTAGTGATCTCAGTAATGATTATATATAATAACCCTTAAAATTACCAAGCACATATGTAGAACTTCTTACATATTTTAAATTACACCTACTTACTGGGAATGACATACTTTCACCAAATCTCATAATCATATGCTAAACAAATCTCAAAGGAACCTTGGAGGGCTTCTGATTCATTATCTCTTTCTGGGTTACATTTGTCCTAAATCATGTTATTTCCTTTATTCCTGTAAAATGAGTTAATGTAATAGTGAACAACAACTTCCTGGCCAGGTAATTCTTTCTTATGTTTAGTCCAAATTCCTCCCCATAAAACATATGTACGTCTAATTTTTCCTCTGTCCATGGAAACTGAGAACAGTTGCCTAGAATAGACATGACTCTCATGAATAAGACACATTTTACTGCATGTTACAAGACATTTTTGAAAGTTTGAAATTATGAAGTCCCTACTTAGGGCTTAAGTCATTAAGGGCCACAAACACTAATAAAATTATTTTCCTTAAACTCTTCTCATTTTCTATCATATGTTATTTAAAGTGTTATCCAAAAAAAAAAAGAGAAGAAGAAGAAGCCTAACAAACGCGCCAAAGTTAAATCAGTATCTTTGCCAATTTTCTAACTGTAGAAGTTTGGAGCCTTAGGCCAGTGCTGGACCTGGCTGCTGGGTCATCCACACGCACCTGGAAGGGAACAGGAATACACTCACAGGAATACACTCTCCAGTGCACACGAGCTCTGCTTTCCGACAGTTCACTGAAGACATGCACCGGTCACATCATCACATCAGTCATCAAATTGAGACAACCATGCTGATGAAAAAGAACGATGATCTGTAGGATGGTTTTATGAAAGAGCCAGATTTGGAAGGCTAAGGAAAGGTGCCTCAAGACAGTGTCTCTTAAGTTGAGATCAGAAGGAAGAGGAGGCTTTAATTAGTATAAAAGAGGTGAATGGAGCAGGGTAGGATAGAGAGTTTTAAAGAGAAAAGTCAGCAGAGCCACGTCCTTATGGTGAGAGGGAGCGGGGAACAAGGAAGACTTAAAACAAGGTACATAAAAGAACTAGAACAGGAGCGCAGTCTTCTGTGTTCTTTGGCTTCACTGGCTAAGAATAGCTAAAGTGGTTACTCTGAGTTGGGGGATGTATAGATGCTCCTAATAGCCAAGAGTTTAATTGTACATTGGAAATCAGAAACTATAAAAAGATGTTGGCCGGGCGCAGTGGCTCACGCCTGTGGTCCCAGCACTTTGGGAGGCTGAGGCGGGTGGATCACGAGGTCAGGAGTTTGAGGCCAGCCTGGCCAATACAGATATCCCAGCTACTTGGGAGGCTGAGGCAGGAGAGTTGCTTGAACCTGGGAGGTGGAGGTTGCAGTGAGCCAAGATCACGCCACTGCACTCCAGCCTGGGTGACAGAGCGAGACTCCATTTCAAAAAAAAAGATGTTTATCTTCCTTACTCAGATACCATATAAAAAAGCTGGGATTTTGCTAAATTCAAAAAGAAATTACATACACCCTATATTACAAATACTAAAAACTAGTCATCAGCTAGCCATCTATTGTTGCAACATGTCTTTGAATAATATATGTGTTTTCATTATATTTCTAAATTAGGCAATTTGTTTTGTTATTTCAAATCACTGGGTTTCGTGTTTCAATTGCTTAACTAATCAACCCAGAAGATCCATTGTGGAGTCCATTTTTCACAGCAAATCTAAATTCTTTTTCCACACAACCATTCTTGTCCATCCTGATGCAATTCCTCTAGACATAATCACAGCGGAGAAGTGCAGAGCACACCCTGCCAAGGGGCATCTACTGAAGAGATACTGACAATGGCAATTTAAAGATACTTGTTATTTCCAAAGTTGAGAGAAAGAGCCTTGTAAAAATGTGTATCTCTTTGCTGTAAGGATGCTTATTTAGAATTAACTACAGTAGTTGTCTATTTATCCAGCATGTTGATTTCAAAGCCCAGTTCTTTTTATTGAGCTACTTTGGAATTAAAATTTTTTATAATATTTACATATAGGATTAGGTTTCTAAGCCAATTCCATCTAACTGCTAGTAAATTTATTTTGTATATAGCACAAAGAATTGAATTCAATCCCAAATTCTCTCCAGCATACTAACCAAATTTAAATAAACATATGTGATGAGCTAGCAATGGTATTTCTGAATTTTCATATTTTTATTTTCCTTGGCTTACATTTTCCATATATCAAAGTCTCTTTTGAAAATTAAACTATATAATATAACCTCAATTTTAAAACATCAATGATAAGCTGGATTTAATCAACTCAGAACCCAGTGAGGGAAAACATGTTTTACTTGCTTTTATTTTTAATCAAACAGAAGTTGTATTTTGTTGTCATTGCAACATATCAGCGAATAAGCGATCTTGGAGAGCTAGGAGCAAGTTTAAATGTGTACATCTATGGGCAAAAGAACAGCTTAAACTACTGTGAGGCGGTCATTTTTCCTCCAGTGTTTCTTACGCCAGTGTGGAGGCAGCTGGAGACCTGGGAAAGATAGCAAAGACATTTATCTTTCTTTCTTTCTTTCTTTTTTTTTTTTTTGAGACGGAGTCTCGCTCTGTCGTCCAGGCTGGAGTGCAGTGGCGTGATCCTGGCTCACTGCAAGCTCCGCCTCCAGGGTTCACGCCATTCTCCTGCCTCAGCCTCCCGAGTAGCTGGGACTACAGGCGCCCATCACCCCGCCCGGCTAATTTTTGTTTTTTTTTGTATTTTTAGTAGAGACGGGGTTTCACCATGTTAGCCAGGATGGTCTCGATCTCCTGACCTCGTGATCCGCTCGCCTCGGCCTCCCAAAGTGCTGGGATTACAGGTGTGACCCACCACGCCCGGCCGCAAAGACATTTTTCTTGTGACAGTTTTAAACTTGGTATATTTCAAAATAGCACAGATGTTTTTGAAACACTTGCAGTAGAAATAGTGATGTTGTATTGGTTAAAGAAAAAGGCTTATTTTTTTTTTTTGAGACGGAGTCTCGCTCTGTCGCCCAGGCTGGACTGCAGTGGCGCGATCTCCGCTCACTGCAAGCTCCGCCTCCGGGGTTCACGCCATTCTCCTGCCTCAGTCTCCCGAGTAGCTGGGACTACAGGAGCCCGCCACCAAGCCTGGCTGATCTTTTTTTTTTTTTTTTTTTTTTGTATTTTTAGTAGAGACAGGGTTTCACCGTGTTAGCCAGGATGGTCTCGATATCCTGACCTCGTGATCCACCTGCCTCGGCCTCCCAAAGTGGTGGGATTACAAGCTTGAGCCACCGCGCCCGGCTGAAAAAGGCCTATTTTATGTCTGTTATTTCCATCTTTATGTCCATGTGTATTCTTTGTTTAGGTCCCACTTGTAAGTGGGAACATGCAGTATTTAATTTTCTGAGTTACTTCACTTAGAATAATGGCTTTCAGCTCCATCCATGTTGCTGAAAAGGACATGATTTTATTCTTTTTATGGCTGCATAGTATTCCATAGTGTATATTTACCACAAGTTTTCTTTATCCAAGCAACACTTAGATTGATTCCATGACTTTGCTATTGTGAATAGTGCCGCAATAAACATACAAGTGTGGGCGTCTTTTTAATATAATGATTTCTTTTCCTTTGGGTAGATGCCCAGTAGTGGGACTGCTGGGTCGAACGGTAGTTCCATTTTTAGTTCTTAGAGAAATCTCCATACTGTTTTCCTTAGAGTTTTTACTAATTTATAGTTCCACCAACAGTGTATAAGAGTTCCTTTGTCTCCACATCCTTGCCAACATCTGTTGTTTATGACTTCTTAGTAATAGCCATCTTGACTAGTGTAATATGATATCTCATTTTGGTTTTGATTTGCATTTCTCCGATGATTCGTGATACTGAGCATTTTTTTAATAAAGAACTCAAACAACTCAGTAAGAAAAAAAATCCCATTAAAAACTGGGCAAAGGACATGAACAGATGTTTCTCAAAAGAAGACATATAAGCATAAAATAAAAAGAAGACATATATGACATAAAATGCTTAACATCACTAACCAATTTGGGTTTTGGTTAATTGGATTTAGTGAGGGTCTGAAGGTACAGGTAGACATGGAGAAATGTTGAATAATATCATTTAGTGCAAAAACTATTTGGAAAGAACATAAGAATTGATGAATTTTTTTGCAATAGATCTGTCTAAATTCCTTGGAAAATTACAAGTGGTGAAGATTAATACATGTGCTATTATTGTTGTTTTTCATTAACTGTTTGCTATGGAATCATTGAAGAAAGTGATAGACATGTTAGAAAGACAGATTTCTTTAGAGTGGTATATACTCATATTTCTTTAGGGTGGGCAAATTAAAATCACTGATCTGATTGTGGCATATATAACTACGGTCTTGCATCCTTTTGGCCTGAAATATTCTCCTTCTAACTGAGAAGTATGTGAAGAGAGAAAGCATTCATTGCATATTCATCTGAGCAGCTTTCTAGAACTGATCCAGTCAGACTAGAAAAATTCTACCAAGCTCAAAAATCATCACACAAAAAACAACCACTTAGAGTCTCTGGAAACTGTCCTAACAGAAAATGTTTTTGAAATGGCATTATATTCTGTTGGACCTAATTAAATCCTTTTCTCTCTTCGCATAGTAAGGACCCATAGTCCCTCCCTGGTGACACTTCCTACTTCAGCTTTCCCTTGTTCTCAGTTTTAGGTGCACCCTACCTCAAGTTCTTACTGCTTCTGCTCGTGGGACTATAACAAACACTACTTCTTTTACCTCAGTAGGACATCACAGCCCATTGCTTCCATGCATCCCAGGAGCTGGGAGAGACTTGGGCCTCTTCTGTCTGCTATTTTTTTTTTTAATATTGCTAATCTCAGGCTATGGTCTGAGAATCAAACAGCAAACATTTTTGCACTTCTATTTTCTAATAAACTATCTGGATTCCTCCTAAAAGTTGGAACTGAGGTAGAGTTGACATCTAATTTCACAGCCATGTTGATACAAATGAAGCAAATCTTTACAATATTTCAATATGTATAATTCCAAGGCACAATGAGCAAGGTATAGGAGTATGTCCCCTGTGTCTAGCTGTTTCTCCAGGCTTCTCCAGAATGATGGATGAAAATGTAATTGGCAAGTCAAATGTCTACTGTGGAAGCCTACAGGAAAAGGGATGTGAAATGCTTGACGTGATGAGGGATGCAGAGTGTTCAGCACTTATTTACTGAGCAGCTCATCACCTGATTGTATAGTATACAATATATGAGAATTTATAGAACAGTGAACATGTAAACACATAGAACAAATAAACATATACAACATATAAACACTGTTTTTAACATTTATTACATACATAGAACATATAAGAATTTATAGAGCAATGAAAATACCACATTTTGACATTTGTATTGTACTGTGAAAGATTTATATGTATTTGTATAAAAAATAAATAAAGGTGATAATCTCTTGTGATTTCCCCAAAATACAGCATCCTTTTCATCTTTTTCCATTATGTAAATATGGTATGATAGAAATATAATATGCTGTGAAGTGATAGACATCATGACATATCAAAATGTATTATATATACACATATATATACATGTACATATTTATTGAAGTATAATTTATATACAAAATATACAAATTCCAAATATGAAATTCAGAGTTTTGACAAATGTCCACACCAATGTAACCATAGTCAATCAAGACATAGAACATTTCCATCACTCCAGAAACTTCCCTTGTGTTTCTCTGCAGTCAACTCCCATCCCACCTCAACCCAGGTAACTACTGATACAATTTCTACTGCTATATCTTAGTTTCGCTTGTTCTAGGACTTCAGAATGTACCCTATAGTGTCTAGATTTATTCATTCAACACAAGGTTTTTTAGATTCAGCCATGTTTGTTGCAGTTACCAGTAGTTTTGTCCATTTTATAGCTGAAGAGTATTTCATTATTAATACAACACAAATTGTTTGTCCATTTTCTTGTTGAAGGTCTTTTAGGCAGTTTACAGTTTGGGGATATTATAAGTAAAGATGCTATAAACGTTCTTGTGTAAGTCTTATAATGGGCATAAGTTTTCATTTCTTTTCAATCTAGGATTGGAATTGTTGGGTCATAGGTTTCATGTATGCTTAATTATATAAAACAATGTTAAACAATTTTTCCTAAGTGGTTGTAGCATTTTACATTCCAACAATAATGTATGAGAATTATAATTGCTCCATATTCTCAACAACACGTGGTACTGACAATATTTTTAATCATAACCATTTTAGTGGGAAGAATAACTCACTGTGGTTTTAATTTGCATTTCCTTAATGACAAAACGATATTGAACATTTTTGTGTGCTTTTTGTCCACTGGCCTAGCACTTTTCGTCATTTTTTCTTATATTCATTATTTTCATTTTATTTTTGCTAATTATTGAGTTGTTAAGAGTTCTTTATGAACTATATTCTGAAAAAAATTTACAGCATTCAAATAAAGTGTTGCAAATATTTTCTCCCAGTCTGTAGCTTGACTCTTATTCTCTTAACAATGTATTTTAAAAGGAGAGTTGTTAATCTTAAGGTCAAATTTATCAGATTTTTATTTTATATCTTGCTATTTGCTTTCTATTTGTCCCATTTGTTCTTTGTCCTCTTTCTCATCTTTTTTGTCTACTTTCAAGCATTTAAAAATTTATTCTATTTCATCGCTGCATTGTAATATTATTGTGTAATATTGTAATATTATCACTGTTTTTGTTACTCTAGCATTTGCTTTAGGGATTACACCATACAGATGTTTTAACTTAAAGATAACTTGTAATAGCCAACTTTTAATAGGCATTATACGACTTTACACACAGTCTAAGAACCTTACAAACTAAACTATATTTCCATTTACTCTAGGTTATTGTTGTCATATATTTTACTTTTACTCATGCTGCAGAACTCACATGACACTGCTATTATTTCTAAACAGCCAATTATCTTTAAAAGATATTTAAGTAATAAGGGCAGGTATTGTATATTTACTTATGGTGTTACTATTGCCAGTGCTCTTCATTTCTTTGTGTGGATCCATGTTTCTATCTGCACAAAGATATTATTCTTTATTTTCCTTCTTCCTGAAAGGCTTTTACACTGTTCTCATAGTCCAGGTTTGCTGATAATATATTACTTTTAACTTTTCTATGTCTGAAAAATATCTTTGTTTCATCCTTTCTTGAAAGACGGTTTTGCTGGGTATAGAAACCTAGGAGAGAGAGTTTTCTGCTTTTGGTTGGAAGATGTTTCACTGGAAGCATGAAAGATGTTGCTCCACTGCCCTTCCCCTTGCATTGCTTCCAAAAAGAAGTCTGGTATCATCCTTGTTTTTCTTCTCTGTGTAAGACTTGTCTTTTTCTCTTTACCACACTGAGTTTTGATCCATTTGCTTATGATGTGTTGTGATGTGGTTTTCTTAATAGCACCCCTACTTGGGGATGTTGAGCTGGGTCTGTGGGTTTATAGTTTGCATCAAATGTGGAAAATGCTTATGTATTAATTTTTAAAAATATTTTTTTCTATCCATCCACTCTCTTTTCTCCTTTGAGAACTCCAAATACACACAGATTAGGCAACTGAAGTTGTCCCACAGATCACCGATACTCTGATTATTCTTTGTTTTTTTTCTGTCTCTGTTTCATTTTGGATGCTTTCTACTGCTATATATATTCAAGTTTATTAATATTTTCTTCTGAAAACTCTCATCTGCCATTAATTACATCCATTGTATTTTTTAATCTTATACATTAACATTGTCATCTCTCGAAGTTTAATTAAAGCCTTTTCTTGTCACATCCTAATCTTTGAAAATACGGAATATAGTCATAATATTTTTCATTAGTAATTCTAACATCTGGGTATGTGCTGGGTCATTTTAGATTGATTTTTATCCTCATTATAGGTCCTATTTTTCTGCCTCTTCACACACTTGGTAATTTTTTATTGTATACCAGACATTGTGATTTTACCTCGTTGGGTGTTGGATTTTTTTTTGATGGAGTCTGGCTCTGTTGCCCAGGCTGGAGTGCAATGGCGCAATCTCGGCCCACTGCAAACTCTGCCTCCCGGGTTCATGCCATTCTCCTGCCCCAGCCTCCCGAGTAGCTGGGACTTCAGGCGCCCAACACCACGCCCGGCTAATTTTTGTATGTTTAGTAGAGACGGGGTTTCCACCTTGTTAGCAGGATGGTCTCCATCTCCCGACCTCGTGATCTGCCTGCCTCGACCTCCCAAAGTGCTGGGATTACAGGCATGAGCCACTGTGCCCGGCCTGGTGTTGGATAGTTTTATGTTACTGGAAATACATGTGAACTTTGCTCAGAGATGCCAATTAGTTATTGGAAACGGTTTGATCTTTTTTTCCAAATCTTTGAAGATTTGTTCAGTGGGGCCGCCATAGTAATACATGGTCTAGGACTTGCCAGGACTGAGGCAAGACCCCTATGAATATTCTACCTAATGCCCTATTAATTATGGGGATTTCTGGTATAGCCCATGGCAACCACCTCTATTCATGGTTGTATGTGAACATGCACTCTCAGTGAGAGTAATATTGTCCCCAAAACGACAGAAATTAGTTTTTTTGGGGGGGATGGGAGAAGTGAAGAGAAGAAAAATATTCTTTTTGTGTAAAGCCCAGATATACGTATAGTACTAAAGAGATATGCAGTGCATGTGCGATATTAAAATTTCAGGGCGGGCGCAGTGGCTTACGCCTGTGATACCAGCGCTTTAGGAGGCTGAGGTGGGCAGATCATGAGATCCAGAGATCGAGACCATCCTGGCTAACACGGTGAAACCTTGCCTCCACTAAAAATACAAAAAAAAAAAAAAAAAAAAAAAATTAGCTGGGCATGTTGGCTTGTGCCTGTAGTCCCAGCTACTCGGGAGGCTGAGGCAGGAGAATGGCATGAACCCTGGAGGCGGAGCTTGCAGTGAGCCAGGATCGCGCCACTGCACTCCAGCCTGAGCGACAGAGCAAGACTCCGTCTCAAAAATAAAATAAAATTAAATTAAATTAAATAAAAATTAAAAAATTCATAGAGAGGTGACTAGAAAAGATGTTTAAAAAGATTCCTTGAGGTCAATAATAATTTTTTAAAGGTTGATAAATGCCGCTGTAATTCTTTTGAGTGTTTCTTTCCCTTGCCTCAGGTAGTTTCATGCACTTTGTTACACACTGAAGGGCGACCCTCTCCAGATTTGCAAAGTTTTCTCCAATGCAGCTCTTTCCTCGCCGGTACTCTATCCTGCAATCTCTAGCCACCTTCGTGTACCTGAACTCTCAGCAACAGCTACTCCATTCAGAGACTTGCTAGGCTTCCTTAAGCTATCTATCTCCATTGTCACTGCTGTCTCAAATTCTCTCAAGTTGTAAGCTGGGATACTCACAGCACACATCTTATGTTTCCTGTCTTTCAGGGATTACATTCCGTGCCTCATGTCCAGTGTACTGAAAACCATAGTTTCATATATTTTGTCTGGTTTGAGGTTGTTTCATGCAGGAGGGTTAGAGGGTAAATATGCTCCCTATTACTCCATCTTAGCCAGAAGTAAAATAAGAAAAAGAAATATATGTAAGTATAAACACACATACACATATATATATGTATGTATATAACACACATGAATCATATCCTAAAGATTTGGAACAAGAAGTAAATTTAGCTATCAATTATGTTTACTCACTGCAGATTAAGATGAACATTGTAGATTGGAGCATATTATGGGAGCAAGGCAACCTGTAGAATTGGTCAGGAACTAGACATCTCAGGACCTGCATTCTAACCCATTTTTGTCAGTAATTATCTGTGTAATGTTTTCTCAAAGCAGTGAAGGCCTTTGTGAATTTTGCAAAAATGGGGACAATTATATGTTTTACCTCATTGGCTTGCTTAAGGAGTTAAAATGTGATATGAGTCATACAAAGTGCTCATGCAGTCACAGAGGTTCTATTTTAAGGGCTTTCTTAAATTTTTAGGTACCATCACAAGCTAGCTAAGTTAGAAATTTTCATATCGCAAAATCTAAAAGTTCATCTTATGATTTTAAACATTTTTATTCACAGAGCAAATGCAACCATGTGAACCTCACATTTTAAAATATATAATGGCACAATAAAATGCAAAAATATAATTTTAGGTCATAACCTATAGGCAATAAACTATGTTATCATTTTGTAAAAAAAATACCACAGGAAGTAGTGCTTCAGTACATTTTCCCGACGATATGATTAATCCATAATAAATTCTGCTACTACTCCTAGTAATGGCAACTTTATGTAACCTTCTTAAGGTTACATTTGCACTTAAGTATACCAACTTAAACCGTGAGTGGCTGTTCTGACAACACATCAGCAATGAACTTAGCCTGAGCTACATCCATTGGGAGTGATGTGAAGGAAGAGAAAAGCGTTGGACTCTATGATATTTAATGTCTTTACCAATAGAAAAGCTCTGTAATTCTTAGAATTCAATTTTTTAATTAAAAAATTGGTTCTCTCTTTACACATAATTGCCAAAACAGTGTTTACAAATACTTTCATCTTGCCCCAGATTGGCCAATGAGGTAGTAGGTTAAACAGCCAATTCATCATGTTTTGATTTAAAATGTGTCCATATCATTCTTCCCCAAATTCAAGTATATTTTAATAATCCATTTCTGTTACTTATATTATGGATTCAAGAATAAACTAAGCAAATGGATCATTTGTTTGCCTTCCAGTTATACATGAAGAAATTAATGTTTTATTAAAGAAAAAAGCCATCAAAATCAATTTTCCATCTGCACTCTTTTATTTGTTGCAATACTGTTTATAACAGCTAAGATTTGGAAACACCCTAAGTGTTCATCAACAGATGAATGAAGAAAATGTGGTTCACATACAAAATGGAGTACTCTTCAGCCATAAAAGAGAATGAGATCCTGTCACTTGCGACAGCATGGATGGAACTGGAGGTCATTATGTTAAGTGAAATAGGCCAGGCATAGAAAGACAAACATTGCCATGTTCTCATTTATTTGTGGGATCTAAAAATCAAAACAACGGAATTCATGGATATAGAGTAGAAGGATGGTTAGTAAAGGCTGAAAAAAGTAGTAGACAGCTGAGATAATGGTGGGGCAGAGGTGGGGATAGGTTAATGGGTACAAAAAAAGTAGAAAGAATGAGTAAAACTTACTATATGATAGCACAATAGGGTGACTATAGTCAATAAAAACTTAACTGCATATTTTAAAATACAGAGTGTAATCAGGTTGTTTGTAACACAAAGGATAAATGTTGAGGGGATGGATACCCCATTCTCCATGATGTGCTTATTTCACAGTGCATGCCTGTATCAAAACATTTCATGTACTCCATAAATATATACACCTAGTATGTACACAAAAATTAAAAAATAAAAAAGATTTCCCATCAAATATTCTTTCAGAGAAGATGTGAACAAAGATCCAGAATTATTGGTCAGTCTAGGCAAACAGTATCAAACAGCCTAATATGATTTTCTCCTCTGCTAAATAATACTGGGAAGGCAGGAAGGTGGGCTTCTCTATGGATTGAAGTTAAGAGAGAGAAGTGCCAGGAGTTCAGTCCACGCATGACAACTTACTAGTACTGCCTACTTGAAGAGATTAGCTCTTACAACCTTATCTTTGTCTCATCTATAAAACTGAGGGAGCAGGTTAAAAAAATCTTACATGTTAATACATGACTTATCCTACTCCATGTCTCTATTACAATGAAAGATCATACACAGTCTGGAAGAAAATGTTAAATTTACTGTGACTTTTCACAGTAATAGAGACAGAGTAATAGAGACACGGGGTAGAATATGTCACGTATCAGTAGTAACTACTATCAAAGTATGTTAAGTTTATGCCGTAATAATGACTTTTAGTAAACAATGAAGATTTACAGTGATTTCCTAAGGTGAATTTGGACAAAAATATTGAGATAATACCACTCACCAGTGTCACTATTTTACAGAGATAAGCCTTCAATGTCACATGAACCACTCTATTTTTAATATTAGAATTCTGAAGTTTTTAAGCATCAGAATCTTCAGCTTTCTCAAATGAAGAATGGTAATTATATGCTATTTTCTTTTTTAATTTGAAGAAAAAAGTTGGGAAATTATTATGCTTTTACTTTTATGTTACAAAAGGGTGTTACTTGCAACTAGCATCTATGTATCTAAATAACGTTTAGTGACTTAATTCTCTGCAACAGTAAAAAGTACTCAATTTAGATTTTAGTAAGTTGACTGTTAGATGGTTGCTCTTTGGCAGAAGTTTAAATATATATATTCATAGATATTTTTACATCTAGCAATCAGTAAATATTTATCTCTTTTTCTTGCACTTTGCATTTAATAATTTAAAAGGAAAAATTTAACAGATGATAAATATCAAACCAAAAAAGTCAACAAATCTTAATAATCTCAAAATATACAAGGGCAAAGTGATACATAAACCAATACAGAATACATTTGTCTGCACATTTTTGCATAAATTTTAAAAAGCATATAATTCTGTAATTTTAATTTTATAGAGCTTTCCCTAAAATATTTTTTATTTTATTTAAAAATGAGTTTATTTTCAAATAAGAAGATTAAGTCTAAAAATCAGTGCAAAAGATTGATGGTGATGATGTATCAATGCAATTTGATGCATCCGTTTCGCTGTCTTGCAAAAGGTGCAGTGACCAATGGGCTGTCTGTACTCTCAATACAGATGTAGTATTCTGAGAAGAGATCATTTGTTAAGAGCGGATTTAAGACAGAGAGTGTATTCATTCTTTCAAAAATAACACATACGAATTTCCATAACAAGATGGAAATTCATTTACGTAACAGTAACGCTGAATCAATATATTTTCAGCTTGCCCTGATGTGGAAGAAATATACCATCTCATTAGTCCTTGGTAGGCAGTTGGTATCTGGAATATGAAGAGTGTAGCATCATTGCTTTTATGTAATTGGTTTATTGAATCCAAATGGTGGTTCCATGCATTATCAAATAACCACTGCTTCAATACTAGTCCCTGGAACTGTCTCCATAAAGTTAATTCCAATCCTTTGCTGTCTTAGTGTGTATGTAAACCTTAATGAGACATGTTCCAGTTAACTGCACATATTCAATTTTGGGTAATCTATGGGAATTTGGCCCCATGGTCATAAACCTGTGATCAGACTGGCAGATTTAATAAACATCATGTAAATGCTAACTTAACTTGGAGTGAACAGTCTTCAGTTTACATTCCAAAAGTGATTAGATGAAAGGATAATACACAATGATATTTATGCCTAGAGCAGTTCAAAATTTAGAAAAGGAATTAGTGATCTTCAGTTAAGCTATTTTTTTAATAAATTGAAAAGATGTTCTGTACAACATAATAGAGTCATAGGAAATCAAAAGCATATCAGTAACAACTTTTAGAAAAAGAAATGAATGATAAAGAAAAACAGATATGACCTCTCAATATCTTGGGGAAGTAAGTTAGGATGATGTTTCATTCACGTCTTAATGATATAAATAAAGGATAACTCTGTGTAAGAAGTATTGTTTGTATCTGGTGGTAAATTTAGTTAAAAACATAATCACAAGTTACAAAAACTGTAATTACAAATTACAAAGAAAAACAGGCAGACAATCTTGTATTGACATCCTCTTGCATCTTGTTACCTACCAATGTTCTGTTCCATTATAAAATTCAATACTAAAATTTCATAGCTAACATTCAATATTAATTTCAACATTAAAATGTATCAAAATCATTAAAAACAGTCAATTAGAAAAAGCAATACACCAAAAATAATGGTAGTGTTTCCAGGCTTCAACTGTGTTGTATTAACCATCACACAGGAGAATAAAAGGGCTGTGAATTTTAGATAGGCCACTTGGCTCTGGATTCCAGGACTATGGAAATGCCAGTGAAGGTAGTCCAAGAAGCATTTCTTGTTTTATAAATATCAGCAGAGGACCAAAAAAAGGGATCCCAGATATGTTTTCAAGTAACAAAAAACATTAAAGTGCAATTTTGTCTTTTACATCTGAACAAAAGTTCTGTCATTTTTAAAAAATAAAGTAGGGCCACAGCTTTATAGCCATTTTCTCATCTAAAACCCCACAATTATTAACACAGATCAAACTGCAGTTTTGGAAGAGAGCCTTTGGACGGGGAAACTACTGAACAGTGATGAATGGCCATACCTAATTCATTGTTTGGAAATTGATGTGGAGGACTGTGTTTCACCGAGGGAGAAAGGGACCTCCCAGAGGCTCCGAGGCTGCAGGTCTTCAGCCAGGTGACAGCACTGCACCTGCTTGTGTGCACCCTGATGGCAACAGCAGGGAAGTCCACAGTCACGATGATAGAGACAGCCACAGCTGCCAATCAGAAGACTCGCTCTTTCTGGTTTTCATGGACTGCGTTTTGCACATCGAGCTCACTGTTTAGAGCTGTCCTAGCACTCTTCTTTTTTTGAGACTTTTGACTCATTTTCTTTGCGTAACTTTCTCTGTTGATAGATGCGTATGGCTATGGCAGTGATGCAAAGCAAAATAAATATCACCACTGCTATCACACCTAGGGAGAGAAAAGAATAAAACATCATAATTTTTTTTCTTTTTTCTTTTTAGAGAGAGGGTCTCACTCTGTCGCCCACGCTGGAGTGCAGTGGCATGATCACAGCTAACTGTAGCCTTGATCCTCCCAAGTAGCTGAGACTATAGGCCCACTCCACCGTTCAGCTTATTTTTTTTTTTCTTTTTACAATTATTCTTTGTAGAGATGGGGTGTTGCTGTGTTGCCCAGGCTGGTCTCGAACTCCTGGGCTAAAGTGATCCTCTCACCTTGGTCTCCCAAATTGTTGGGATTACAGGTGTGAGTTACCGTGCCTGGCCTCAATGTCAGAGTATAAATGGTGACTTTTGGTCCAATCAGAGGCTTTGCAGACATCATTGCTTTTTAAGTTTGGTTAAAATAAACCAAACACCTATTATATTATAAATTGAAAACACCAAAACTCAGAAATGCTGAGGTCAAGTAATTTTATAACATTTAACATACTTCTGACGGACTATGACTTTTGGATATGGCTGTGTTAGGCTTTTTCCCTACAGGTATATGATGATTGGGTTTTAGATAATGCTTTCAGATTTAAAAGAATAGAGACATACATGTCTCTAAGACCGCGTACATCCTTCAGTTAACAAGTGGGAAATGTTAAATCATTTTACAAGTATAGAGTGTTTGCATCATCATAGATCATTACATGTTATTGTTAGTACAATGAAATGGATACATTTTAATGAAAATGTTTTCAAATACTTTTATGATAATACACTTTTCTTTTTTTTCTGAGACGGAGTCTTGCTCTGTCGCCCAGTCTGGAGTGCAGTGGCGCGATCTCGGCTCACTGCAAGCTCCGCCTCCCAGGTTCACGCCATTCTCCTGCCTCAGGCTCCTGAGTAGCTGGGACTACAGGCACCCGCCACCGCGCCCGGCTAACTTTTTGCATTTTTAGTAGAGACGGGGTTTCACCGTGTTAGCTAGGATGGTCTCGATCTCCTGACCTCATGATCCGTCCGCCTCGGCCTCCCAAAGTGCTGGGATTACAGGCGTGAGCCACCGCGCCCGGCCGATAATATACTTCTCAAACGCAGTAGTGTCTTATATATGTAATCAATCCCTATTACCAAAAATATTGCAGGCATATTTATTCATTTTTTTTTTACCTGGAATGTGGATTATTTGAAAGACCTGGGCAAAATGTTTTAAAATATTGAAACCATTAGCAGTGTCCATGATTCTCGACTCTAGCTGCACACTAAGTCAGTAAATCAGAATAAATGAATGGAAGGCCTGGATACCAGTATCTTTATAAATTGTTTCAGGCTTTAATTCAGAGCCAGAGTGCTAAAGCATGAAGCCATGCCACAGAATGCTGTGTACTGAAGCAATCATATTAGTGACAAATGAAAGTAAAATCTACCCTAAAAGAAATAAATGTGTATAAAGACAAGCTTCTGAAGGTAATCAGAATATGTCACCCCCAAATATGCCTTTTTGACAAATATTTTGAAGTAAAGGCAATTAAGAAGCAGCCAATGGAGGAAGAGCTCTCTAGATCCTCCCCTCTTTTCATCTAAAGACAGGATGTAAATTCTCTTTTACCGGAGACCATTCTTACCAGCTCAGGGATGTCAGCAGAAGAATGTACAAACACACGTATTCCACTAGTTTCTTCCCATATATTTATCTTCCCACGGTTTCTTGCCTTCGGACACCTAAAATTGCTTTCCATTGTCCTGTCATTTCTCCACAAATGTATTGTTGAAGATGAGCCAGACTTCTAAGCCACTGCGCTTTGAGTTTCACTGAGGTTTCTCCCACGTGCTGTGGGCTGCATGCCTTAGTAAACTTGCTTGTTTTTCTCTTGTTAATCAGAGGTCTGTCCCAACTACAAAGTTAGGAATGATGAGGAGAAATTATATTTCCTCCCCCACGCTTTTACTGCCTACATCGTACATTTAAAGTACTTCACACAAATATTAATTTATATCTTCAGCCAGTCCCTATTAGAAAATGCAAACTGCCTCTGGGAAAGCCCAGGGGAAGCCTTCCACAGACTCCTTTTCATCCCCTCGTTCAGGCTAAGAATTTCTCAGCGGAAGAGAACACTGCTAAGATGTTTCCTTACGTTTACTCCGTCAATCTTGCCAGTGATATTTGACCACCAGCAATATAATACAATTCCAAAGATAAGAGCTGGTTCTATGATCAACTTGCCCATTTCCTTCTCACCAAAAGCTGGGTACTAACCCTGACATTGTGTAAACGTCTGTAGGACTTGGAAACCTAGCGTGAAAATGTTCGGCATGTTGAAATTGCTTTTGCATTGCAATGAAAAAAATCTCCTAAAAAGGCATGATTGATTTAGGATTGGATTTGATTTAAAATTGAACACGAAAGTACACCTTTTAGATATGCATTATTGACCACATTCCCACTGGAAACTGTTTAAAACAGTTTTTGTTCATCAGGTCATGTATTTTTAATTTACACCTTACTGATTTCTAAGAGAAAAAGAATTGAGATAGTGATGGAAATGTGAATATCCTCAACTGAAATTTAGTCAGAACTTTATTATGTCGAAATTGTTTTCTGTCATTTTGAAGGAAACAAACACAACTAGTTTACTCTTGTATGTGCTATGGAGAGTCTGCAGAATAAGAATACAATTAAGATTTCAATAACTCGGCCGGGCATGGTGGCTCATGCCTGTAATCCTAGCACTTTGGGAGGCCAAGGTAGGTGGATCATGAGGTCAGGAGATCGAGACCATTCTGGCTAACACGGTGAAACCCCGTCTCTACTAAAAATATAAAAAATTAGCCGTGCGTGGTGGTGGGCACCTGTATCCCCAGCTACTTGGGCTGCTGAGGCAGGAGAATGGGAGGCGGAGCTTGCAGTGAGCCAAGATGGCGCCACTGCACTCCAGCCTTTGCGACGAGCGAGACTCCCTCTCAAACAAACAAAGATTTCAATAATTCACTCATTAATTAACAAGGAAAGGTGAATGCTTATTTTTTGCACCAGCTCTAAATAAATTATATTTTAGAAAAAAAGTTTTCATTGCCAAAACATATTTTTAAGCTATGCTTAACTTCACTTTTCTTCAATTAAAAATAACCAGAAAACATTCTTAGCCTATGAGATTAGTTCTTTCCAAAGTATGATTAAAAGTGAAACATACAATGGCTACTGCTGCACAACATTGTAAATGTCCTTAATGACAGGGAATTATACACTTTAAAATAACAACACATTTTAAATAATGTGTGCCTTTAAAACTTCTTAAATAATCACGCCTGTAATCCCAGCACTTTGGGAGGCCGAGGCGGGTGGATCACGAGGTCAGGAGATCGAGACCATCCTGGCTAACAGGGTGAAACCCCGCCTCTACTAAAAATACAAAAAATAGCCAGGCGTGGTGGCGGGCGCCTGTAGTTTCAGCTACTCAGGAGGCTGCGGCAGGAGAATGGCGTGAACCCGGGAGGCGGAGCTTGCAGTAAGTCGAGATTGCTTCACTGCACTCCAGCCTGGGCGACACAGCGAGACTCTGTCTCAAAAAACAAACAAACAAACAAACAAACAAACAAACAAACAAAAAACTTCTTAAATAAGTGAAACACTGTCATGGGAGTATCTAAATCATACTATTTGTCATTGAAGAAAAGTACCATAAAGTGTATGCTCTGATAATTAGCTGAGGTTTCCATTGCTTTGAACATAATTACTTCAGGTCCGTCCAACAGTTGTCATTACCGTGACAAATATCCCACATGTCCTAGGGAATACAGCTATTTTCAAATTAATAACTTTTCAGTATTAGCTTTGTAACTGTTCTTCAAAAAAAATTGTTTCGGCAGAATTCTTACATGCTGAGAACCCCCAGGGAAGCTGAAATCAGCAAATATTGCCTTAGAAAATCAACGAAGGCCGGGCATGGTGGCTCACGCCTGTGATCTCAGCACTTTGGGAGGCTGAGGCGGGCAGATCACTTGAGGCCAGGAGTTCGAAACCAGCACGGCCAATACGGAGAAACCCTGTGTCTACCAAAAACACAACAAATTAGCCAGGCATAGTGGCACACTCTTATAACCCTAACTATTCAGGAGGCTGAGGCAGGAGAATCGCTTGAACCCGGGAGGCAGAGGTTGCAGTGAGTGGAGATCTCACCACTGCACTCCAGCCTGGGTGACAGCGTGAGGCTCTTGTCTCAAATAGAAAAAAAACAAAGAACAAAAAACAAAAAACCACCACCAACCGCAATACATAGCACCCCTCTGACCTCACCATTGAGTATTGATTCTTACATATATTTCCCATTGTGCTAAGTAATGGTATCATTATCTAAAGCGATAATGACAAGCACCAGGTCATTCAGGGCCTTGTTACCTCCGATGACAGCAGAGTCTCTTCTGTCTGCATTAACCAAGGGCTCTCCCTCATCCGCTGGTCCAGAACGACCTACAACAGGGAAAGGGAGAATGATGTTTATTAGCTTGATTTAATCACGCCACAATTTACACATAGCAAACTTGTCAATTAAAAGTGAATTAAAATAAGAACATCACAAAAATGTATTTTAAAAAAGGAAAAAAAGAAGGATGACAGAGACGGAGAAAAGAAGGCTTTTGAGAAATTCACAAACATTTGAGAGAAGCGCAGTTTCAGGTGCGCAGGGGTGGAGGGCCACACACCTGCGCCCCCCGCGAGTCGGGGAGCCAGTTCCCGCGCCGGGGAGCCGGACGCCGCCCCCGCTGCGCAGCGGGCCATAGGGGCCACGTGGCCGCGGACGGTGACCCGGGAGGGGCCGCTGGGGCGCAGCGCCGCCTTCAGGGGAGCAGCGCGGCCGAAGCGCACCGCCGAGAGGCAGCCAGTGAAGCCACTAGTCGCCGCCCGCCTTGTGTCCGGGTCCGCGCCGGCAGCCTCTGAGGACAGAAGGGGAACACACAGTTAGGGCGCAGCGGCGGAGATGGGGGCGCAGGCACACCCCGCATCTGCAAGACAGCGACCCTCGTTCCTTCACTCCAGGAGAGGTCCCTCCGAACCCCTCG
The DNA here is from genome assembly GCF_000001405.40 of Homo sapiens. Lineage (NCBI taxonomy): Eukaryota > Metazoa > Chordata > Mammalia > Primates > Hominidae > Homo > Homo sapiens. Next base: position 258,009 of record NW_025791789.1, on the reverse strand, counting down.
TTCCTTCACTCCAGGAGAGGTCACCGTGAATCTTTACCTGTCTGGCAACTATTTCCATTGTCAGGGTTATGAAAGGCAGGTTTTTAACAGATTCGTTCAAGTGCAGATGGCTGGCTCTCTGCAAGTAACAGAGCTTCATAGGAAAGCGGTTACATGGCATAAATTTAAGAAATCCTCTGCCATTTAATTTTTAAAATATAGCATTAAAATAAAATTTTAATGGCGCTCACAGCCAATAATCCGGAGGATTACAGAAAAGCGACTCTTGGAGATGAGGGCAGAGCTCTGGAAATCCTTCATACTATAGTTGCTATTTTGTATGATGACTTTCATATTATCTTAATAAACTGTATCTTTTGTCATCAGATAATATCCCTCTTTATCTCATTTAAGATTCGATTATATTCCAATCTTAAATTCAATCTTATCTGAAAGTAGTGCTGCATTTCTTAAATTTATCAGCTGTTGCCTGCTAGTTCTTGGCATGCCCCTTCATTTTCAATATTGTAAGAGCATTTAACTGTTAATTTTAAAGCTAGTTTGACAGAATTTAGTCCATTTGTCTTTAGAGTAATAACCACTATATCTGATTTTATTTTTTATCTTACACTATTTATTTCACATTATTTCTTTTTTTCCTTTTATTTTGCTGGTTTAATCAGTTTCCTTCTTATTTCCTGCTTTCCCTTTTGTGAGTTTGAGAGCTCAACTTCCCTAGCCCTCACAATCAAAATCATGCCTTCACACTGTTATATGAAAACAAGATCCTCTTTTTCCAACTTTCCCCCATTCCCAACAGTGAGATGAGCGATTGCATGGTTCTTTCTCCCCACCCTCCCTCCCACACCACCGCGGGGTTCCCCACAACAGTTCTTCCCTAAATGAGAGGCTTGGGAAATTTTTCTTTTTCTTCTCTCACTTTTCCCTTTTTACTCTTCTTTGGTTTTACTCTAGTACATTTAGATCCTGACCAGAATGACAATTTCTCTTACATTTCTATTTTTCTATGATGTTTCCAGTTCAAGGATCTTTACATAATTTATTTTTTCCAAGAAAGAACTTTGACATGATGGACAAAGATTCTCCCTATGACCAGATGTTGGTCAGGCTACTCTAAGCTCTCTGCTCAACCAGCCTGACCTTTGGTCTTTCATCGTCCAGCTTAGCAAGAATCCTGCCAATTTGGTTTTAACCCAAATCTCCCACCCTCAATATCTGATCACTCTCAATATCTAATCACCTTTCTCATCCCTCTCACCACCCCGCAGGTGATGTCTGACAACACTGGCCTGGCATCACCAGGAAACCTGGTGAGTCAGTTTAGCAAGAATTACTCTCCCATTTTGTAGTTTTCCACTCAGACACCCCACCCCAGCCACTCTGCTCCTTGGCTACGAATCCACACTTCTCCTTGTTGTATTTGAAGTTGAGCTCAGTCTCTTTCCCCAACTGCAAAGCTCCATTCCAGTAATTCCTATACCTATTGCCATAGTCCTGAATAAAGTCTGCCACACGATCTTAACAAGAGTATTTCTATCTTTTGACATGATACAAGATGGTTTTACATTAAATAATTGTAGTTTAGAGAAGAATCACATAATTTTAGGGCAGACCTTTTTTTTTTTTTTTTTTTTGAGATGGAGTCTCACTCTGTCCCCAGGCTGGAGTGCAGTGGCGCGATCTCGGCTCACTGCAACCTCCGCCTCCCAGGTACAAGCGATTCTCCTGCCTCAGCCTCCCAAGTAGTTGGGACTACAGGCATGCACCACCACACCCAGCTAATTTTTTTTGTGTATTTTTAGTAGAGACGGGATTTCACCATTTTGGCCAGGACGGTCTCGATCTCTTGACCTTGTGATCTGCCCACCTCGGCCTCCCAAAGTGTCAGGATTACAGGCATGAGCCACTGCGCCCGGCCAGACTTCTCTTTAAAACCCTGAATAAAAACCTTGAGCAATTGTTTAATTTGGAGCTGATGAAACAGAGAACTTTCTTACATCTTTAATAAATGACTTAATTAGAAAATGATCACCATATATACTTTGTTTAAGCTGGAAAATCTGAAAGAAAGGCATTCCTTTGCCCACTCTGAAGTGTACCTGGCAATCACACCACAATCCAGGAAGAAACTCGTGATTCTGTACTCCCAGATTTTAGCCAGCACTACTATTTATTGTTTATCAGTTAACCAATATTCAGTAGAACTCAACTCTTAACTGTGGTGACATGTAGATACAGTTTCCTGTCTATTACCTTGACATGGCAACATGGTCAAAACCCTTCACTTTTGCTTCTCTTAGCTGAATAGCTCTAATCAAAAATGTATGGTGACCTGTCTGCCTCCCTTTCTGGGCTTTCTCAACTTCGGGGTCCTGCACCCAGCCCCCTTCCAATTCTCTATTCTGTTCCATCAAAGCCTGCTCCCGAGTAAATTCACGTTTGCACAAATTCCTGGTCATGGCTTTTGATAACACTTTCAGGGGCATATGTATTTTGGCAGAAGAGTCAAAAGAATGGATCTCTAATACAGAATTTGAAATACTGGCACTTGACGTTGTGGGAAAAAAAATATTTGAGATAGGGTTGTCTTCCCAGCCCACTGAAGTCATGCCAAATAGACAGATGTCTATCCTTACAAAAGGGTGCCACTTGGTTGAACTAAAGGAAAAAACGACTAGATAAGTGGACAGTCTTCTACACTGTGCAATACGGTAGACACTAGCCACATGTGACCATTGAGATTCAAATCAGGCCAGGCACGGTGGCTCATGCCTGTAATCCCAGCACTTTGGGAGGCCGAGGTGGGCGGATGATGAGGTCAGGAGATCAAGACCATCCTGGCTAACACGGTGAAACCCCATCTCTACTAAAAATACAAAAAAAAAAAAAAATTAGCCGGGCATGGTGGTGGGTGCCTGTAGTCTCAGCTACTTGGGAGGCTGAGGCAGGAGAATGGCGTGAACCCGGGAGGCAGAGCTTGCAGTGAGCCGAGTTCACGCCACTGTACTCCAGCCTGGATGACAGAGTGAAACTCGATCTCAAAAAAAAAAAACAAAGAAACTCAAATCAATTAAAATTAAATAAAATGTAAAATTTAGTCCCTCAGTTATACTAGCCACATTTCTAGTGCTTAAAAACTCATTTATCTCAAGTGAGTCTGGGGACTACCACATAGGACAGCACAGACTTTACACGTTTTCATCATCACAGAAAGTTCTATTGGACAGCATTAGTTTTGTTGACTTATACTTTCAAAGATCTCAAGACATCTGTGATGCCCACTGAATCCTGGTTAATGGACCAAGTTAGAACAATCTTAGAATTTTCTATCGAAGAGAATCTTGATGATAACTTAGTGCAGCCTCCTCATTTTACCAATAAAGGACTAATTGATATAATCATTGCTCTTTCTTGGAAAAAAAAACCCACAAAATCTCCTATCTTCTTGACTTTTTATAGGGTTTTTAGGTGTTTTCATTCTGTAATGTTGAAAGAGGCAATCCACCATTGGCTCTGAGTGTCTCCTCATGCTTTGCTGGGTTTGCCAAGAAGTGCAAGATGCTGACAGCACTTTACTCAGGCCACTTCTCAAGGCTATAATTGAAGCAAGCAACATTGAGGGATAAGGTCATGACCCCCTCCAGGACAAAGAACAGACTTGCTTAGTGCTTGTTACAAAATCGGTGGATTCCCCAAACTCAGTGTTCCTCTGCTGCAGTGGAAACCTGGCCACAGGTGCAGCCTTCATCTGCACCCATCACTGCCCCGTAAGGCTTCAGGGCCAAGGGAAAACAATGCAAATGAACTGCTGCTCACGAGGCTTGCTGTGCCATGAGTAGTAGGGTCCTTTGTCTCTGTACCAGGACAGCATCCACAAAACAGTTAAAAGCTGTTAACTTCCTAGCTCGTAAATCAGGTAAAATCAAATCCCAGACCCAACATAAAACATTTCTTCTAAATGAGACAAACACCATAGCACAGAAGTAATATAAAATACATAGGTTGATGAATTTTAAAATGTTAAAACTGTATGTCTTATGTGACATCTCCTTACAAAACTCAAAAGGCAATTTCCAGAAATATTTAATTACCAAAACTATTTGGCATTCTTACATATCTAGAGCTCTATTTGAAATATAGTCCTTCAGTGGGTTTTCTTTTCTTCAGCCTAGAATGTATACCTCCTAAGGTATATAAGCTCAGCTGTATTCATATGCAACTGTTTACAGGCTAATTTTTTTTTACTTTTTGGGAGCAGACAAAAAGGCATCTTCCATTTTTGCACTCTGTTTTTTTGATATATATATGTAATTTTTAAGATAGTGTTTAAGGGGCCAGGTGTGGTGGCTCACACCTGTAATCCCAGCACTTTGGGAGACTGAGGCGGGTGGATCACAAGGTCAGGAATTCGAGACCAGCCTGACCAACATGATGAAACCCCGTCTCTACTAAAACTACAAAAATTAGCCAGGCGTGGTGGTACATGCCTGTAATCCCAGCTACTCAGGAAGCTGAGGCAGGAGAATCGTGTGAACCTGGGAGGCGGAGGTTGCAGTGAGCCGAGATTGCGCCACTGCACTCCAGCCTGGGCGACAGAGTGATACTCATCTCAAAAGTGTTTAAATACATGTGCACATGTACACACACAAAGCAAAACAGAAAGAATACAATAATACCAAAGTATCTAAAAACAAATCTTAATTTATGATGGATCATCTTTACTGAATTATAAAGTATTTTAGGTGTCTGCATTCTTTAAAGCTACCTCTTGGATAAAATTCAAAGCTATATAGAAAATTCAAAATCTAAAAAGCTTATATTTAAATAGGTTTACTCTGAATTGATCTTGTGATAATCAATCTGAATGGTCTTCATTCACTAAGACTACTCAGAAATGGCAAAATCATATTGAGGTGCTCAGAAACAGCATCTTAATTATGATGGATTTTGGACCATTTTTTTCTAAGGCATTGTTAGGGTGCATAATAATAAATTAGGCTGGATATGAGCATTATTTTATTAGAATTGCTCATATATTAGCCTATGTACCTATTAACATGTGAGTGTAGTGAGGGTGGGTAGGTATAGTGTTTCATTCAGAGGCTTTCTCAGTGCTTAATAAACTGTTCATAGCAGATGCTCACCAAGTTTTTTTTTTTTTTTTTTTTTTGAGACAGAGTCTCGCTCTGTCATCCAGGCTGGAGTGCAGGATCTCTGCTCACTGCAAGCTCCGCCTCCTGGGTTCACGCCATTCTCCTGCCTCAGCCTCCCGAGTAGCTGGGACTACAGGCGCCCGCCACCATGCCCGGCTAATTTTTTTTGTATTTTTAGTAGAGACGGGGTTTCACCGTGTTAGCCAGGATGGTCTGGATCTCCTGACCTCGTGATCCGCCTGCCTCAGCCTCCCAAAGTGCTGGGATTACAGGCGTAAGCCACCACACCCGGCCACTCACCAAATATTTTTAAATGAAGGGATGAATCGAAGATTTACAGGGACTCAAGAGAAATATATTGGTAACTTAGAACAGAGTGTTTTGGGTAACTTTCTTTGTAAAATTAGTGGCTTCTCTATTAGCCAACTTGTTGGTCTATTTTACTATAAGTTAAGGAAAGCACTTCCTATATAATTCCAAATTTAAAGATAAAATTGTAGTTTTGGTATAATTACTAAATGATGTGAGAGTGGCAAAAAATGTATAGCAGAACCAATCCTAAAATACAGTTGTTCAAAGTATAAAGTGTTTTATTAATGTTTGATGATTATCTCTACCTCCAAGGACAGGCAAAATGAATATTTATAATTTTCTAAGATCAATTGCTTCTGAGTATATACTTCATTGCTGAATTTCAATGTAGATTTTTATACCGTAAGTTACATGCCTTTGAATATACCATCCTTGAATGAAAACATTAACACCTTCAATTCCATGTCTCCTTTATTTGGAAGGAAACAAAGATGTATATAATAAATATTATTCAACTTTTTGATCCTAATATTAAAGTATAGTTCATTTTCTTAATTGAGTTACATAAGATGGGTTTTTTTAAAAAAAGATTACTTTCCTCAGTTCCTTTATTAAATGTAAAGCTAACTGTGCTTTTACAACAGATTATGATAGACAATATGATAGACAATTACTGTAACTTTCTACCTTGCGTAACAGATATTTATGAATATGCCTCCCCATTCCTGTTAGATACTAAAGTCAAAAAGGATGGAAACAACAGGCAAAGCAGGGCTTGAGAGAAAAATAAAACTGTATTCATCTGCTGTAATAAGATTACCAGTTTTTTCTCTTGTGTTCAACTCAAACGTAGTTTTATCATTGAATGATGGTCTCCGGAGTTGATGTTGATTAATACATACATAATCTGTGAACTTCGTGTCAGCTTTGACAACATTTCACTTTTCAAGAAGGATTAGAAAAATACCGTGATTCATTATGCATGATTGCCAAGTGAGAGGTTAAGTGTGGAGGTATTTTTCCAGGAACGCCCTTGCACATCTCACAGGTAGCACTTAGTCATGATTATATGTACACTCAGGCAAGAGTACAGTTTGCACCTTGATTGTCACTCACTGTGAAATTATTATTCAAGTAAGACAAGGAGCTTCTTTCAGCATGATGAATGCTTCCAGAGTTTGTGACATGACACTTATTTGGGAAAAAGCTCTTTCTCCTACTTACCTAAAACCTTTCCCAATATGAGAGATTTGACGGCGTTGAATTCTGTCCCTGAGGACAAGATGACTTGTTTCTTTGTGCTCTGGTTAACCTATTAGATGTCCCATGAGAAGCAAACATCAACAGAAAGTACAATTTTAATGATAAGGAAGCAAAGGAAGATGAGGAAAGGAAAGATGAAAATAAATCACTTTTAAGTACCATTACAAAAGCTCAAGAAGCCACCTTCAAATAATTAATCATTTAGAAAGAGAAGCTATTTTATAAGCAATTCCTATGATGCCATCAGCTACCACTCTATCCACGATGTACCCACTTGCTGGCTTTACTCTTCTTCATAATGGAAGGATCTATAATTGGCAGAATCCATGAAAAAGATGGAATTGGTTGTTTTAAACTTAAATATGTACTCATTCTGTGGAGAAAATCTGAAACATAAAACCAAGCATTGTTGTTCTCTATACAGTATATTTTCCTTCCAATGCCGATGACAATGTGTAATTTACTTCCTCTGTGGTGACTCAGGTCTATTTTCTTACTTATTCCCATTTTAATAACTATGTTGTGTGCTTTTAAACCGTGTTTTTAAGTTGCTAAAGTATTTGTTCTTTTATAATCAGAATAAGACAAGTTCCCACTGCAGTATCAATGAATAGATTCCACCAGCAGTCACTATGATAAACTAGAGAACATTCCCCTATTGAGTAAAGTAAAACAAATAGATATTTTGATATTTTAAATAGTAAAATATTAATAATACCTTTGACAGAATTGCATTGCTAAACAAACAAAACAAAGCAATACAGAATAAACAACCACCTCCTCTCTCCCAGATCCTGGCCATATTTGGCTTCTTCTTGACTTATGGAAGAGCAGCACTGAATGGGTTGCTCTTCTATTAATATTATCAAATTTTTTCATTAGATTATTTGTTCTTAAAATAATAATATTAGTTAGTTTGACTTTTGCATTTGTGGGATTACCTCTACCATGACCACAGCTTCTTCTCTGTTAATCTTCACTTGGTGAAGTTGCCCATCAGCCATGTTTTTAAAATCAAAGGTAAATGCATCAGGATTTTGATGTCTATCTAGCTTGTACCTAATCTGCAAACTTCCTAAAAAGAAAAATAAATGGCATTTAAAATTAAAGTGGTATTTTATAAAACTCTTGATACAGATTCTAGAGCACTTTTATTATTATTTACTTATAGCACTTTTGAATCTATTTAGCATCAATTTAGATGCACCCAATAGTTATCTTTCCCGGAACAGTGATTACTTAAGTGCTATTCCTGTGCCAGACTCTGAGTCCAATGATGCTATTTGAAAAGTCAAGACTAAATGTGTTGTTAATAAGCAGTCTCCCCAAACCTTTTCATTTAAAAATGAAAAGGTTTAAATTATGCATATGAGCTTGGAACTCAGATCTAAATTCATTATGACTTTGATATTTATGAAATGATGAAACTCTATGCAATATTGTATCAACATTCAGTTCCTGTAATTATAACTTCTAATAAGGCTCATTTTAATGTATCACTGATATGTGCATAAAGATTTTTTTATAGCCAGATTATTTTAAGTCTTCTGCCATAATCCAAAAATGAGGACAAGAAAAGGTTTTGTCAGGAGACAAGGTTTCCATAGTATCTACATCTTCTAATATACATACCCCTCTCCTACACAGATGTGCCCTCATTATCTGTAATTCTCTTTTAGTTTATACTAAGATCCTGTTAATCGGAGATTTTTTTTTTTGTTTGTTTGTTTGAGGTGGAGTCTCGCTCTGTCACCCAGGCTGGAGTGCAGTGGCGCGATCTGGGCTCACTGCAAGCTCTGCCTCCTGGGTTCACGCCATTCTCCTGCCTCAGCCTCCCGAGTAGCTGGGACTACAGGTGCCCACCACCATGCCCGGCTCATTTTTTGTATTTTTAGTAGAGATGGGGTTTCACTGTGTTAGCCAGGATGGTCTCGATTTCCTGACCTCGTGATCCGCCTGCCTTGGCCTCCCAAAGTGCTGCGATTACAGGCGTGAGCCACCACATCCAGCCTACTCAGAGATTTTGTAGATTTTTTTCTAGGCATGAAATTTTTGTGCTGTGTACCTAACAGACTTAAAGCTTGGTCTTCTTGTTCAACTGTAAAAACCTTGCAATGCCCCAACTACCACTGTTTGAGAGGTTGTCATTACACTTTTCTTCTATAAAAGTGATATAACTAGTTTTTCAGCCACTGATGAGATAAAGAACAGCTGTACTTATCTGTTGCTTATAGGAATTGGCTTTTATATAGTTGTACTATAACATCCACATAAATGCTCCTCTATTTTGCTTAGAATGAGGAGGGAATGTATGTCATGTATCTAGATATCTTATTTCAAAATGAACTGCAAAACCAATTTGAGTCATCATGTACTATTAAAGTCATCCTATCAATAATAAGAAATATAACTGCATATCAACTCCGTAAAATTATCAAACATGTAATGGGAGAAAAGCATCTTAATTTAATCTTGAAATGCTAGCTTTTATACATAACCATTAAGGCAGGCACTGAAAAACCAAACCCATTGGAGGGCATACAGTTTTCTCTCATCGTTTGTAGTTTGACTGCTGAAAAGACCCATGTCATTACAGTCCTATTTTTCTAACTCAGGGTTCTCTTTTTCTTTACACAAAAGATATTCACCATTGTTGGCGAGGATAACTGAAAGGTATTCCTCATAGAAAGAGCTCACATACAGCAATAAGCTCGGAGTTCGTGTGGTTCGGAAGCTCAGTGTGATCATTTCTCTGGTCAATGTTACATCTCTGTGTAATGAAGAAACGAGAGAGCTGGAGTTTTCACTTAAAGTGTAGTGTTCTTGAAAATGGTATGTCATTGAGGAGCCAGTTGCAAAATATGCGGAAATCTCTGAAATGATAAATACATTTTTGTTATGTTAACAAAATGTAAGTCCAACGGTCTTGTTTTAAGTACATTTAGAGAATGAGACCAAACCTTAAATATCCTGGGAGATAAAGTAATAGTGAAATCCTTTCCTGTTTTTTTATTTTTCACTTTTTAAAGTTTTTTAAAAACTACAACTTGAAGAAAAAGTAGCAAACTCCAATATACTCATAACCCAAAATTGACTAACACTTAATAGAGATTTTAATTCTCCAAATCATCCTCATCTTATATTTACATATAACTAATTCTTCAGTATAAATGTATAATTTATAGGTGACTTATCTCATCTTTGGTTTCCAATTTTTTCCCAAATTATTAATTTTTAAACATCTTTATTCAGATATAATCCATATGCCATGTAATAGACCCAATTACAGTGTAAAATTCTATGTCTTTTAGTATATTTGCAGGCATGTGCAAACATTGCCATGATCAATTTTAGAGTATTTTCACTCCCCTCCCCCGAGCACCTTCTTATTCCCTCCTACAAAAACCTCCATAACCTCTAGCAGTCATTCTCTGTTTCTCCCCAACACCCCAGCCTAGGCAACTACTAATTTACTTTCTGTCTCTGCAGAGGTTCCTATTCAAGAGATTTCATATCAGTGGAATCATATAACGTGTGGTCTTTTCAATGTGGCCTCTTTCACTTAGCATGGTATTTTCAAGGTTCATCCATCTTGTAGCATGTATCAGTATTTTATGCGTTTTATTGACTAATATTTCATTGGATGTAAATAGTAATGGATGTGCCACATTTTGCGGATCTATTTAACAGTTGATAGACATTTGGGTTGTTTCTACTTTTTGACTATTATAAATAATGCTTCCATGAAAATTCACGTGTAAGTTTTTCTATGGACACGTTTTTATTTTTCTTAGGAATATATACCTAGGAGTAAAATTGTTCAATCTTATGATAACACCAACTTTAAAATTTTGAGGAGCTGCCATATTTTTTCCAAAATAGCTATACCATTTTACATTCCAAACAGCAATTATGAGGGTTTTAATATCTCCACATCCTCACCAACATTTATTATTATCTTTCTTTTAAATTACAGCTATACCTGTCTGTGTGAAGAGGTATTTCATTGTGACTTTGATTGCCTACTGGCTAATGTTGCCAACTATTTTTTCATGATTTTATTGGACATTCACACATATTTGCTGAAGAAATATCTATTTATAAGCTTTACCTATTATTTAATTGGGTTAAATTTCTTTTTCTTATTCAGTTGTTGGTTTTTTGTTTTTATTTTTGTTTTCTTGAGACAGAGTCTCGCTCTGCTGCCCAGGCTGGAGTGCAGTGGCGTGATCTCTGCTCACTGCAAGCTCTGCCTCCTGGGTTCACACCATTCTCCTGCCTCAGCCTCCCAAGTAGCTGGGACTACAGGCGCCCGCCACTACGCGTGGCTAATTTTTTGTATTTTTAGTAGAGATGGGGTTTCACTGTGTTAGCCAGGATGGTCTCGAACTCCTGACCTCGTGATCTGCCCACCTCGGCCTCCCAAAATGCTGGGATTACAGGTGTGAGCCACCACGCACAGCATCTTATTCAGTTGTAAAAGCTCTTTAAATAATTTGAATACTAGACCCTTATAAGAGACATGATTTGCAATACTTTCTTCCATTCTGTGGGTTATCTTCTCTTTTGTTCTCCCATGTTTTAAGAGTTTTATAGTTTTAGTTCTTACATCGAGGTCTATTTGGTACATTTTTATGTATGTGTGAGATAGAGGTCTAATTTCATTCATTTGCATGTGCATGTATACTCAGTAGTCTCAGAGACTACTTCTTCCCATTGGGTTGTCCTGGCACTCTTGTAAAATCCATTGACCATAAATGGCGAGGTATCTATCTGGACTTTCAATTTTATCCCAATGAGCTATCTGTTTAGTCTTAGGCCAGTTATATACTGCTTTACAGTAAGTTTAGAAATTGGGCAGTGTGAATCTATCAAATTTCTTCTTCTTAAAGATTGTTTTGGCTATTCTGCATCATTTAAATTTTCATATGAAATCAGCTTGTCAATTTCAGGAAAGAAGCCAGCTGGGATATTGATTGAAACTGTACTGAATCTGTATATTACTTTAGAGAACACTGGTATTTTATTTATATTAATTATTCAATCCATGACATGAAATATCTCTCCATTTATTTACCTTTAATTTCTTTCAATGCTTTATAGTTTTCAGTGTGTTTTCCATTTCTTTTGTTAAATGTATTGCTATGTATGTTATTCTTTTTGATGCTATTGTAAATAAAATTGTTTTACTGGTTTTATTTTCAGATGGTTCACAGCTAATGTGTAGAAATACAATTGATTTTGTATATTGTTTTTGTATTCTGCAATTTTGCTGAACTTGGTTTTAGTTTTAATAGTTCTAAGTAGATTCTTTGGGATTTTTTTATATAAAAAATCATGTCATCCTCAAATAGAGATAGTTTTATTTCCTTTCTAATTTGGATGTTTTTCTTCTTCTTTTTTTTTTTTTTTCATTTTCTTGCCTAATCAGTCTGGCCTGAACCTCTAGTACAATGCTGAATAGAACTAGTGAGAGTATACATTCTTGTCTCGTTCTTGATCTTAGGAAAAAAACATTCAGTCTTTAAAACTAAATATAATTTTAGCTATGAGTTTTTCAAAAATACCATTTGTTAGACTGAGGAAGTTATCGTCTATAATTAGTTTACTGAATTTAAACAAAAATACATGAAAGGATGTTGGATTTTATCAAATGACTTTTCTGCATCAGTAGAGACTATCATGTGTTTCTGTCCTTTATTCTAAGATATAGTATATTATATTAATTGATTTTCAGCTGTTAAAACAACTTTCCATTTCTGGGATCATTTCCACTTTGTCTTGATGTATAGTCATTTTTATATGTGACTGGATTTGCTTTGGTAATACTCTGTTCAGGGTTTTCACATCTATCTACTTAAATGATATTGGTCTGTAGATTTAAAATATATATACTTGTATATCTATGTCTGGCTTTGGTATTAGGGAAATACTGACCTTACAGAATAAGTTGGAAAATGCTCCTTTCTCTTTTATTTTTTGGAAGAGTTTTGAAGAATACTTCTTATTTAAATAGTTGATATATTTTTAAATAGTTGATATATTCTGATAGTTGATAGCATCAATTGTTTGAAACCATCTGGACCTGGGCTTTACTTTGTGTGGTATTTTAATATTATTAAGACATTCCTTTTATTGTTATAGGCCAATTTATATTTTCTCCTCCTTCTTGAAACAGAAGTAGTAGTTTGTGTTAATTTTGTAGTTAGTGTCATCCTAGGAATTCGTCCATTTTATCTAAGTTACGTAATTTTTTTCAACATACAGTTGTTTATATTCTCTTGCAATCCATGTTATTTCTGTAAGGTTGGTAGTAATATCACTCTTTCATATGTCATTCTAGTAATTTGAATCATCTCTTTTATTCTTGGTCAGTTGTACTAAAGGTTTGCCAATTTTGTTAACAATTTTAAAGGACTGACTTTTGGTTTGGTTAATTTTTTCTGTCACTTTTATATTATCCATTTGAGAAATTTCTCCTGTTTTATTTATTATTTCCTGTTTCTCCTTACATTAGATTTAGTTTGCTCTTCTTTTTTCAGTGTCTTAGGGTGGCAGGTCAGGTTTTTTATTTGGGAACCATTTTTCTTTTTGAATATTGATGTTTACAGCTTTAAAATTCCCTCTAAACCCTGCTTTAGCTGTGTTACTATATGTTTTAGTAATGTTGTATTTTTGCTTTCATTTATCTCAAAACCTTTTCTAATTTCCCTTTTGATTTCGGAGTGTATAGTTTAATTTCCACATATTTGTGATATTCCACAATTTCTTTATGTTATTATTTTCATCTCATTGTGTTTTAAAAAGACCCTTCATATGATTTCAATCCTTTTAAATGTGTTGAGGCTTGATTTACAGGTAGCATGTTGTCTAACCTAGAATATGTTCCATGAACACTTGAGAAGAATATACATTCTGCTATTGTTAAGTGGTGTGTTCTACAGATGTGTGTTAGAATGATTGCGTTTTTATTTTTTTCAACTCTATTTTCTTGGTAATCTTCTGAGTAATTATCCTTTATTGTAAGTGAAGTATTGAATCCTCCAGGTTTTATTCCTAGTTTTTCTATTTCTCTTTTCAGTTCTGTCAGGTATTCTTTATGTAATTTGGGGCTATATTATTAACTGCATATAAGTTTGTAATTGTTATATCTTTTTGAGGGAGTTAACTTTTTATCATTATAAAAGTTTCCCTGTTTCTAGTAGCACCTTTTGTTTTAGAGTTTATTTTTTTCTGGTATTAGTATAGTCCCTTTGGCTCTCTAGGGTTACTCTTTGCATGGTACATGTTTTCCCTTCTTTTATTTTCAACTAAATTACCCCTTTCAATCTAAATTGTATGTCCTTAGACAGCATATAGTTAAGATTTCTTTTGTTATCCATTCTGACAATATTTGTCTTTTGATTGGATTGCTCAATCGATGAACATTTAATATTATTATTGATACAGTTAGATTTACATCTGCCATTTTCTTTTTCTTTTTCTATGTGTTTCATTTGTTTTCTTTTCACTTTCCTTCTGACTTATTATTTTGTGTTGGTGGATATTTTGGAGTGTAACATTTTAATTTCTTTCTTGATTTCACTATACTTTGGGGTAAAATATATAAATATATAATTTGCCACTTAACCATTTAAAATATGAAATTCAGTAGCATTAAATTCACAATGTTGTGCAATTATCACCTCTTTTGATACCCAAAATTTGTCATCATCCCAAAATTAAACTGTATTCATTAAGCAATAACTCTCCATTGCCCCCTCATCTCAGCTGCTGGTATCCTTGAATCTACTTTGTCTCTACAAATTTGTCTATTGATATCTAGTAAACATGGAGTTATATAATATCTGCCCTCTTGGGTCTGGCTTATTTCACTTAGCATAATGTCTTCTATGTCAATTAATGTTGTATCATGTATCAGAACCTCATTCCTTTTAATGGCTGAACAATATACCATTATATGTATATACTACATTTTTTAATCAATTCATGTGTTGATGGACACTTGTATTATTTCCACTATTGTGATTAGTGCTACTATGAACATTTGTATACAAGTATCTGCTTGAGTTCTTGTTTTCAATTGTTTTGGTTATATATGTAGAAGTGGAATTGCTGGGTTCGAAGGTAATTCTATGTTTAACTACTTTGAGTTAACTCTAAATCAATTTCTACAGTGGCTGTGGCATTTACTTTCCCACCAGTAACAAAAGAGAGTTCCAATTTCTCTAGGTTCTTGCCAAAACTTGTTATTTTCTGTTTTTATTTATTTATTTATTTTTATTGTCAATCTAGTAGGTTTGAAGAGGCAGCTCATTATACTTTTCGTTTGTATTTCTTTAATAACTAATGATGTTGAGTATCATCTTTCCATGTGATTATTGACTCTGTATATCTTTTTGGAGAAATGTCTCATCAAGTCCTTTGTCCAATTAGACTTTTTGTTGTTAAGTTGTGGAAGTTATTAACATATTCTAGATAGTAAACCTCCATCAGATACATAATTTGCAAATATTTTATCACATTCTGTGGATTGTCTTTTTACTCTCTTGATAGTGTTCTTTGATACACAGAAGTTGTTAATTTTGATAAAGTCCAAATAATCTATTTTTATTGTTGTTGTTGCCCGTGCTTTTGGGGTGATTTTTAAAAAACCACTGCCAAATCCAAGATCATGAAGATCTGCCTATATATCTTCTAAAAATTTTATAGTTTTATCTTTTAGATTTAAAACTTTGATTCATTTTGAGTTAATTTTGGTAAGGGTCTAACTTCAATCTTTGCATGTGAACATCCACTTTTCCTACCTTTATGTTGAATAGACTGTTACTTCCCTATTGAATGATCTTGACAAAGACTATGTTAAACATCAATTGACTGTATGTACGTAGGTTTATTTCTGGCCTCTCAGCTCTATTCCATTGATTTATAGGTTTATCCTCATTCAGTGCCACATTGTTTTGAATAATGTAGTTTATAGTAAGTTTTGAAGTCAAGAAGGGTGAATCCTCCAACTTTGTTCTTTTGTAAAATTGTTTTGCTTATTCTGGGCTTTTTCAAATTTTATTTAAATATTGATAGGGGCTTTTTCATTTGTATAAAAAGTGCTTTGGGGATTCTGATAAGAATTAGATTGAATCTGCTGGGGTTGTATTGTCATTTTAATAATCTTAAGTTTTCCAATTCATGAATATGGAATGTCTTTCCATCTATTTAGTTCTTTCTTTAATCTCTTTCAACAACGTTTTATAGTTTTCAATGTCTAAGTCTTTCACTTTCTCGGTTAAGTTTATTTCTAAGTTTTTTATTCTTTTTGATGATATTGCAAATGGAATTGTTTCCTTAATCTCACTTTCAGATTTTTCATTGCTAGTGTAGAGAAATACAACCAAATTTTTGGTGTTAATTTTGTATCCTGCAACTTCGCTGAATTTATTTATTTTCTCTTAACAGCTTTTATTTCCTGAAGAGTTTTCTACATATAAGATAAGGTAATCTGAGAGAGAGATAGCCCTTCTATTGAAATTTGGATGCCTTCTATTTCTTCTTCTTGCTTAATGACTTTAGCTGGAACTTCCAGTACTATGATAAATAGAGGTGGTAAAACTGGGCATACTTGTCGTGTTTCTTATTTTACGGAAGCTTTCACCATTGAGTATGATGTTAATTGCAGGTTTTTCATATATGGCCTTTATCATATTGAGAAAGTTCCCTTCTATTCCTAGTTTATTGAGTGTTTTTGTTTTTCAATCATGAAAGGTTACTGGAGTTTGTTAAATGTTTTTTTTTCAGCAACAATTAAGATAATCATGTTTTTTTTCCCCTCTCATTCTATTAATCTTGTGTAATATGTTGACTGATTTTCATTTGTTGAACCACTCCTGAAATCCTGGGATAAATCCTACTACGTTTTGGTATATAGGTCTTTTAATATATTTCACGACAATGTTTTATTTTCTTTAGTGATTGCTCTAAGCTTGCATTATATATATCTTATCAATAATCTGCTTCAGGTTTACATTAACTTAATACAAGTGAGATTTAGAAAAGTTATTTCTACATAGCTCTATTTCTTCTGTTTTGGAACTATTTTTATGCATACCAAACCCATTATTATTTTATATAATTTGTTCTCTTTTTAAAAAATCTGAGAAAAAAAAAGATCAAGTAAATATTTATAGACTTTGTCTATAAACTCTCTTATTTACCATTTCTAGTTCTCTTTCTTTGTTCCTCTGACTCATGTTACCATTTGGTGTCATTCCTTATTTCAGTACAGCCTTGCTCCCATCTGTCTCCTCTGTGCTGTTTTTTTGTAATATATTTCTATAGGCCCAACAATGAAAATATATACATTATATATTTGTATATTCTCTATTATAGTTTTATACATTGCTTTTTAAAATAGTTAAGCACTGAAAAGGGTAAGAAATATGACATTATACTTTCTTTTATAATTACCTGCACACTTACCTTTATTAGTGCTATTTGTTTTTTGTGTGTAGATTCAGATTATTGTCTGGGTTATATCCCTTCAACCTGAAGGAACGTTCTTTGTTATTTCCTCTAATGCAGGCTAATAGCAGTGAATTCTCTGTTTTTTGTAAGTAGGGATATATTTACTATCTTTTTTAATTTTTAGTTTTTATGAATACCTAATAGTTGTACGTTATTTATGGGGTAGAGGTAATATTTTGATACAACCAAACAATGTGTAATGATCAAATCAGGGTAACTGAGATATCCATCACCTTAAACATTTATCATTTCTTTTTGTTAGGAACATTCCAGTTCCACTCTTCTAGTTATTTTGAAATATACAATAAATTATTGTTAACTATAGTCATCCTGTGCTACTGAACATGAAAGACGGTTTTGCTGGGTGTAAGTTTCTTCATGACAATAGTTTTCTTTCATCTCTTTGAATATGTTATCTCACTGTCCTGTGGCCTCCATTCTTTCAGATTAGAAGGTAGCTGTTGATCCTGGCGTTTCCTTGTATATATGATTTTTCTCTTACTGCTTTTAAAATTTCCTTCTTGACTTTGGCTTTCAAAGTTTTTAATAAGATGTGTCTGGATATAAACTTCTTTGTGTCATCTGTATTTCACTGAGTTTCTGTATCTTAGATTAATGATTTTTATTAATTTGGGGGTGTTTTCAACCATTATTTTTCAAATATTTTTTTCTGATCCTTTCTCTCTCTCCTGGTATTTTCAATTACGTATATATTGGTGTGCTTAGTTATGTCTGATATTTCTCTGATGATCTATTTTTTTCATTATTATTTCTCTGTATTCTTCAGGATACATAATCTCTATTGATCTTGCTTCAAGTTTGCTGACTCTTTTTTCTTTTCTCTGTTAAACTTCCCTGGCTTAACTCATTACTCTCTTGGAGTTATCAAAATTCTCTTAATTGCTTACTGCCAATATCTTCATACCACTATGCTTAAACTTATCCATCCTCTGTTCCAAATAGAAATCAGTTCACTTGGGGAGGGCTACCAAGCTGTGTATTTTCATGGCCTCCCTCTACCTCTTGGTTGAATGTGCCTCACTGCTCTGAAGCTGTGGGGAGTGAGAGTGGCCTGCTCCTTTGTAGTAAAACCTCTGCTTACAAGTAGGGCACAGGGTGGGAAAGGTAACTTCTTGCCTTGCCTCTCCTGGTGGAGAAACTGTTCCTTACAAGTAAGCTGGAGTGAGGGCAATTGGGACACAGGATTTTCCAGCTGCCACACCTGAAGACCTTATGTCCTGGAATGAGGAGTTGGTGTAGGAAGGAAACCCCAGACTTCTCAGCTGTTTCTGCGTGGACAGAGCTTCTGTCCTACAAAACTGGGGATGACAAGAAATGCTGGCACCCAATCTTGGGGTAATGCAGTATCTCTGGAGTAGGACCTGGGTAGAGAGGAAACCTCTGGCTTCTTGGCTATATCCATATAGAGTGGAGCTTCCGTCATACTGAGCTAGGGATGGGGAGGTGCTGGGAGAGGGTCTTGGCTTAAATGCCTCAAACTCTCACTATTATTACTGATTAATAAATGTTTCTTCATTTGATGTATTTCCTTAGGACATCTTCTAAAGACTTTCAATAGTTGTTTTTTAAAATAATAATTTTTACTAGTTATGCTTGTTTCGTATGAGAGAGGGTTTACAGAGCTCCTTATGTGGCCAGCCTGGAAATGCCAGAGTACCAGGTTTTTTATTTGAATGTTACCTCCTCTTTAAAAATCGATTTGCTTTGTAGGAAGCATGAAACAGAGCTCCTGAAGTAACTAGAGAAAAGGTGATTTGAAGACCAACCCTCCTTCAAGGTCAGAATTTAGAAATGTTCTTTTATGCCAAAGATGTTTCTCAAATTTACTGTCTGGATAGAAAGGCTAATCCAAAGTGGTATCTACAGTATTCTGAGAGAGAAAAGTTGAAGGGCTTTCAGATTCTCTTAAAACACTTTATGAAAGGTTGATATTTTAATTTTATATCAAGTTAATTCCAAAAATGTGTTTAGTACACACATACACATACACACACCCCCCAAATATATCTGTAAATAAAAAGACAATGTTGGGTGATGATCATTGTCTTGGAATACTACTCCACTCTTTCCATTTCCATAAAATATAAAGAATTTACTGAAAATCCAGATCATTCTTATTAGATTAGGTAATCTAACTATAACATATGCCCCAGCCACTGGAGGACCATTTTCCATTTACTTACTATATAATGTCTATCCTTAAGAAAATTTTGGGTTATAAAATAACATTCAAATTGCACTTAGCAAATGTGGATTGGGAATGATTTAGAAATCAGCACTTGTGCTCATGAAGGAGTGGTTACTCCTGATGTTGGCTTGAGATATAAAAAGGGCTCTGTATTTGCACCAGAGCTATGAGATTTGTTAGCACAGAGATCTTCAGGAATGATAAAAGACACATGCAAGACCTTTTGAAAATTTAAATGACTTCTAGATAATGAATCCTCAAAATTTTTTTGAAAGTCACACAATTTTATAGTGATTAAAGCCTGTTTTGCTGCTAAAAATAGTAAGTGTAACAGCCCAGAGACACTTAAAAACACAACTACATTTTAGCTCTGATGATTCAATATTGTAAGAGGTTTCATAAAAGTATTATAAATATATTAAATAAGTCAGTACAGAGTACTTAATACTAAAATCAGTCCCTTTTTCCTTTTCTTTTTTTTTTTTTTCCCCAAGACGGAGTCTCACTCTGCCGCCCAGGAGTGAGTGCAGTGGTGCGATCTCTACTCACTGCAACCTCTGCCTCCCGGGTTCAAGCAATTCTCCTGCCTCAGCCTCCCGAGTAGCTGGGATGCCCGGCTAATTTTTGTATTTTTAGTAAAGATGAGGTTTCACCATGTTGGCCAGGCTGGTCTTGAATTCCTGACCTCGTGATCCGCCTGCCTTGGCCTCCCAAAGTGCTGGGATTACAGGCATGAGCCACCACGCCCAGCCCTTTTCTTTTGAAAACATGATTGTACCTGAGCAGAAGCTGTGTGATACCCCACTGCACTCCTCTAAGAAGAGTCAAACATCATAGAGCACAGTGTTTGAGTGATCCTGTTAATGACTGTCAATATTTAAATATTATTTTCCCCTTCTAGTTAGTATGCTTGTTTTATAAGAAAAGACATTTCTATAAAGGCCTTTTGAATCACTTCAAGTCATTGTCACAAGGGACAATGGGTAAGACGATTGCTCAAGCCTAGGAGTTCAAGTCCAGCCTGGGCAACAGAGAGGCTTGAATAGCAATACGTTGTCTCTAAAAATTAAAAACAAAAATAACAATGATGGTTTACTGATGTTAAAATTAGAACAGTACAAGGACAGAGTTTTGAAAACCAAATTATTTCAAGAGGATTAGCATTGAACAGATGCTAGGGGTAACCCAGAGATCTTCTAAATAAGAAACCCAGAGAGGACTGATAGCCTTAAGTTTTCAAAAACAGTCATATCCCTTCTAAATTCAATAGAGGAATTTGGTACAGAAATTATTCCATTTCAAATAATTCAATCTTATCCTCTCTTTATAATATCAAATGCCAGAAGCATTCTTCATGTTATTTAAGTTTCATGTACTTTCCCTATAACCTGCTCCTTGGTCACACTTACCATTGGAGCAGAACGGCCCATCATAGGCTGAGAAGGCACAGTCACAGGTGACCCCCCTGCGTTTCTCTCTGCATCTCCCTCCATTGCGACACAAGTGTCCATAGGTGCTGCAGTGTCCTGCACACCCTGGCTCCACTCCTGGCGTCACTGTGGCTCTTTCTTCCAGATCCAGGGCCACCCCGTTCAACTGCAGAGACCGAATGCATCCTAGAAAGCCTCTCTGTCTGGTGGCCGTTCCACCTACAACGGAAACACTGCAAATAGAAATGTGTTCCTTGGTATTTTATTCAGGATTTTATGTCCATGTCAAACTCAGGCCTTATGGAGAGTGGCAATAATCACAATGTGTCAAAAAATTTTGTGAACATACACAATTTTGAAAATGTAACTGTTATGAGACATGAAGCTTTAAATGACATTGAATAAAACACTTATTTACATAACTTTCAAACATGGTGAGTCTGGCAAATAGTCCTAAAACATTTCCTTAACTTCAGGTAAGAAAGAATTTCACTTTAGTTCCTTCACAAAGAACAAAATACATAATATAAACCACATCAAACACTATTCTACTTTGTTTAGGAATAAGAATGTGTATTCATCAAACATTATTTTAATTTCTTTATGAATAAGAATGTGCATTATAATGGTTAGGTATGAACTTCCAAATTTTTCACAATAATAAAAATATATATGGATAATTTCTTACTTGGATGGACTCTAAAAATAAAGTGTGAAAGGAAATGGAGAGGCAAAGGAGGGGAAGTTGGAAGGGGTGACACCGTACCCCAGGATCTCCTCCTCTCAGAGGGTACAGTGCTAAACAGTAATTGAATACTGCATGCATGCACATTTTGTCATGTCAAACTTGAATGCTGAAGAAACCATTTAGAGAGGTTTACAACACCTGTGTAGTGACAAACACCATTATGAAGGCGACAATTCTCAATGTTAGGAGCATGGAAATTACCTAGAGTTTCTGGAAAATGCAGTTTTTAGCCTCCTCCCAGAGATTCCAATTCGGTGGGCCTAAGGTGGGGGCCCCAAATCTGAACTATCAATCAGCTTTGTGGGTGATTCTGAAGCCAGTGATTCATCCACCGCAATGAATGCTGATTCTAGGTGAATTTTACGCTAATTGTGTTTCTAGGCATTCCCTTAAATAATCTCCAAGATTACAAGTGAGAAAATCAAGTTCTTGGTTTGACCCCTCCGTGTAGTCCTCCTTTCCAGTAGTTTGATGGTTTCATGTCCTTTGAAAAAGCCTCACTGCACCTTAATAGAAGAGCTAACCACGCCTGAAGCTAGGTTTTAGGAAGTCATGGTATAACACCCCATCCACATCCACATACATACGTGGGTTCACGTGTAGCATTTAGTACCTGGAAGTTGTATCTACCCTTCCCTGTAAATTAGGTTGGATGATAATTTGTGATTTAGTCCAGTTTTAATTAGATTGCATCCTTATTCACTTTAAAACACTTAAGAAATGAACAAGTGAGAGCTTTAATCTGTGTAGCTCCTAAGTTAGAATAGTTTCAAAAGCAATATGGAAAAATAAACAACAGTGATAAAACAGTAAGTAAGCAAACTAAAGGAAAGACTTCCAGAGCTATCACCTTTAAATAAATGGAGTGCAAGAACAGATGAGCCAGACCAGGTTATAAACAAGGAGCCTGTGATGAGAGAGCCCCAGAAGTGAGAACAGCAGCGAGGAAAACCGGGAGTGGGCTCCTGGAAGCCTGGCCGCGGGGGAGGTGCGCAGTGCTGCTTCCAATCAGCGGGTATCCTGCGATCTGGTTTTGAGTGGACCCTGGAGGACTTCTGTCCCAATTACAAGCTCTCTAACTCCACCGAGAAGTGAAACTGAAGGAATGGATAAAAATGTCTAATGATCTCACTAATAGTGTTGATAAAATATAGCTGTCACATATGCCAATCCTCTGCAATGTGAATGGTTCAAGTTTGGGGGTCGGCTATCCTGGGATCCCTCTCATTAGCTGGTTACTCCACTTCTCTGAGGCTTGGCTATCTCATCTGTAAACAGATGACAATACCTAAACATTGATACCTAAACACTGAGATA
This sequence comes from Homo sapiens, assembly GCF_000001405.40. NCBI lineage: Eukaryota > Metazoa > Chordata > Mammalia > Primates > Hominidae > Homo > Homo sapiens. The sequence goes on along the minus strand of NW_025791789.1, from coordinate 235,059 downwards.
CTGCAGGGCCCGGTGGCTCGCGCCTGTAATCCCAGCACTTTGAGAGGCTGAGGTGGGTGGATCATCAGGTCAAGAGATCACGACCATCCTGGCCAACATGGTAAAACCGTGTCTCTATGAAAAATACAAAAATTAGCCAGGCGTGGTGGCACCTGCGCCTGTAATCCCAGCTACTCAGGAGGCTGAGGCAGGAGAATCGCTTGAACCCGGCAGGTGGAGGTTTCAGTGGGCTGAGATTGCACCACTGCACTCCAGCCTGGGCGACACAGTGAGACTCTGTCTGAAAACAAAAACAAAAACAAAAACAAACAAACAAAAAAAGAAATGTCAAATAAGAAGCACACAGCAAGCTCCTGGAACCTACCAGGTTATCAGCAAATAGTACCAATAAGCAGTAGTTGTTGTTGGCAACTGTTGCTCTCAGTACATCACAGTTCTTATTTTCTTTTGGTCCCTCTCTGGACTCACACTAAATTCAGTTATAAACCACCAGCACTCACCAATGAAGAGCTGGCTGTTGAGCTGTAAACGAACGTGCCCATCAGCAGGGGCAGGCTGCATCTTCTGAGGAAGCTGATCAACTTGAAGAGACGCTCCTTTAACATTTCTCTCTGCCCTCACGTGGTGCCACTGATTGTCATTAAAGGGAGTGGGTGACTGCACCGTGACCTCACAAGGTCCATTCCCCACATCGAAGGAAAAGGTCACTTCTGTGGGAGCTAGAAATATTAGATATGAATATTGCTCAAGCAAATTCACAGAAAATTGAGTCTTGTGCAGACACAGGAAAACATGAAGGCACGCTCAGGATGGAAGGAGATAATGACGGCGATGCAGAAAAACGGGACTGTGAGTTGGGGTGGGGGCAGAATAAATCTGTATCCTGGAGGAAAACAGAACGGATTTTAACATATTTATCCTCAGAGTTCACAATTCAACCTTGTTAAGTCCTAAATAGTAGAGATATGTACCCATAGCTGGACTACCCATAGCTATGTACCTATAGCTAGAATACCAAATAGTATTTGTTTTTGAGGTTTCAGTAATTTTATTTACAAACGGCTCAAAGTCTCATCTAATTCTATAAACACTGAATGTAAATTTTGACAGTCATAAATTAAGCTTTGGGTACATAAAAAACAATATGTCTGGTCAAATATTTTTGGAATTCAGTAAACAATGTGATGAGTTTGGTTTAAAGCTCTGGCTCTGCTGTTCTGTACTCTAGGGAAGGCATGACATTTTAATGGATTATTACGTGCTTCATGCTTCATTGTTTTATTTTCTCTTAAAAATGATTACTGGCTGGGTGTGGCAGTTCACACCTGTAATCCCAGCACTTTGGGAACCCGAGGCAGGCAGATCACTTGAGGCCAGGAGTTGAAGACCAGCCTGGTCAACATGGGAAAACCCCACCTCTACCAAAAATACAAAAATTAGCTGGGCACGGTGGTGCCTGCCTATAGTCCCAGCTACTCAGGAGACTGAGGCAGGAGAATTGCTTGAACCCAGGAGGCTGAGGTTGCAGTGAGCCAAGATAATGCCACTGCACTCCAGCATGAGTGACACAGCAAAATCCTCTCTCCCTCTCTCAAAAAAAAAAAAATTACCTAAAATCATAGAAGTTTAGTATTTTATAATGAAATAGAATCACAAAATAAGAATGAAATACTAACATTTTGTTGAGTTAAAGCTTTTATTGCTAAATAATGGGTACCCTGTGACTTGTCCAGAGTGGCGAGCTTACCACGCAGCTCAATCCTGATGAAATCTGTGATCCCCAGGTTCTCCATAAACACCCCGGAGGAAACTGTGGTCTTAAAAAAGAAGCACACGTCAGCAGTGAGTTCTCCGTGGAAAGCAGGGAAATGAAGGTATGAAGTCTCAGTGTTGAAGGAAGCTGAATTCCAGAATGACTCTGTTTACAATAGAGAAAACGACAAAAGGAAAAAAAGTCATGAAACAAAAATAACAGCTACATTTGATACTTACAGGATTATGACTGCTAAATACATTAATAGAATCTATATGAGCTTTCACTGGGGGTTCTGAGCATCCATGTCATATACTGATGACATCAAGAGCTAAATGGTGATTATGGTGAGGATTAGAATTCTGTGTTCAGAGAAGGCCAAACAAAAGCGAAGCAAAAGCAATGAGACCAGTCAGGGGATCGCGCAGCAACACAGTAGGGACAGGGTCAAGTTCAGAATCACCTCAAAGGTACGACCAACAGAACTTACTGAAGAACTCGGTAAGATGTGAGAAGAAGGGTGGAGTCTGAGGTGACTTTGGGGTTTTTGGTCTAACTGGGAGGGGAAATAATTCTAAAGAGGCAGGTTCGAGCAGCAGCTCAGTTTGGGACATGTTTCATTTGAGATATCTATTAGGCATCCAAGTGGAGATTTGAAGGAGGTAGTTGGATAAATGACTCCAGAAGCCAGAACACAGACTCTTGCTTTCCTTCCTGCACATACACATACACACACACACACACACACACACACACACACACACACACACACACTGTCTTAATTCCTTTCATGGCAAGAACAATCAAGAACAAGAAGAAGCTTATTTGTTCCCTTCTGTCCAAAACCCATCACAGGACTGCACATCACATGTATTCCTCAGGCCTCTTTAGTGTCCTTCATTCTGGTACAGTGTGTGAGTCTTTTCTTATCTTTTGTGTACTTTTGACTTTTTGGTATTTTTCAGTTGACTTGCAGAATGTTCCTCAACTTGGATTTGTCTGACATACTCATGATTGGATTCATGTTGTGCATTTTTGTCAAAAATACCACAGAAGGGCTGCTGTGTTCTCCTCAGTGTGTCGCAGCAGCAGGCAGCAATGCTGATCAGCCCATCACTGGTCCTGTTAGTTTCAACTGCTTTGTAAAGTGGCATTTGTCCACTTTCTCCAACATGAAGTTATTATTTTTCTCTTTGTAATTCATGTATTTTTGACACTTTAAGGTTACAGAAACACAACTTTACCCAGTTAAAAATTTCTTCATCCAATGGTTTTACAATATATTGATGGCTCCTGATTGAATTTTTATTCTGATGGCTGCCAGTGGTGATCTTCTAAGCTCTGTCATTCCTTCCACATTAATTGGTTGACATGCCTCCGTCAGAAATAGCTTTTCTCGGCTAGGTGCAGTGGCTCACGCCTGTAACCCCAGCACTTTGGGAGGCCAAGGCGGGCGGATCATGAAGTCAGGAGATCCAGACCATCCTGGCTAACATGGTGAAACCCCGTCTCTACTAAAAATACAAAAAATTAGCCAGGCATGGTGGTGGGTGCCTGTAGTCCCAGCTACTCGGGAGGCTGAGGCAGGAGAATGGAGTGAACCCGGGAGGCGGAGCTTGCAGTGAGGTGAGATCGTGCCACTGCACTCCAGCCTGGGTGACAGAGCAACTCTCCATCTCAAAAACAAACAAACAAACAAACAAACCAAGAAATAGCTTTTCTCTTGATCTTTTACTAATTTATTTGTGTATTTATCCATTGGTTTATTCACATCACTCTTGAATTTGTATTCTATTCAATGGTTTATACTCTATAACTTATTTTGATGCTTAAGTTGTCTCAAATGTGGCAGCTCCTTTAAGCTGACACCCATGCCTTTTTCAGCTTTTTCTTTCCCCTTTGTCATAACAAAATGATCCAGGCTCATCTTACATTTTCTCTGCCACATTTCTGGAATCAGCCATTTCTTCAAGGAGTCGTGGTTTCTTTTTTAGCAGAGAATGATAGAAAATGGTGTTTAGAAGCCGAGATCTGCAGGCTATTTACTAGGGTGTCATTGCTTCTAGCCCTCTCAGTAGTCAGCTAGGAAATATGTGTATTTGTATCTCTCTCTCTCTCTCACACACACACATACACACACACAGTCTCTCTCTTCTATGTGTATTCTACAGTTATCTATTATGTATATTAAAATCCATGAGTTCATGTGGATACCTCCGTTTTTAACCCAGCACCACAGGGTTCATTACAGTCTTCCTCCTTCCCACATGTATAACTCTTTCCTCAGTGAGAAGGTCACTCCTACTCTCCTCACTGTATTTACATATTTGCTCATTCCCCAGTGTGGAACCAAGCTTCTAACCCAGTGGTCATTCCTTGACCCTATCCCTGCAGATCCCCTAGTCCCAGCTGCCCCAAAAGAAGGGAAAAGAATCAATAAGTGTTATGTTAAAGAAAACAGAGATGAAGATAAGGAAAGGAAAAGAGAAAGGAAGAGGAATCTACAAGTTTTACAGAAGAGAATATTTTATTTTTCTTTCTTTCTTCATTAATCAATTTATTTATTTATTTTAGAGATGAGGTCTCACTTTGTCACCCAGGCTGGAGTGCAGTGGCATGATCATAGTTCACTGCCACCTCACATTCCTGGGCTCAAGAGATCATCTCACCTAAGCCTTCCTAGTTGCTAGGACTACAGGCCACCATGCCCAGCTAATTTTTAGTTTTTTTGTAAGAGACGGGGTCTTACCATCTTGTCCGGGCTTGTGTTGAACTCCTAGGCTCAAGCCATCCTCCCATCTCAGTCTCCCAAAAAGAGAAGGGAATATTTCAAATATCACACTTTCTCTTCTCCATACTTTCAGAAGTCTTGCTGAAAGTAGGATATAAACTGAAGGTGAATGACATATCCTGAAGAGTCTCACAAATACAGCCACGTTTGGAGAGAAATGAAGGGCTGAGGTAAATTTCCAGAGAGAAAATAATCTAGAAAATGTTTTTGAGAAGTACAGAGTACCTAGAAACCAGTGTTTGATGTCAGAGTATCAATAGGCAGGGGAAAAAGCTACAAATTTCCAGGGGTTATTACTGAACTGTGGGAGGCATCTGAAGCCTGCAGATATACCCTCCATGCTTCAGTGTGATGCCTGGCACAGGACATTTAATAATTCTTGAAGATAAAACGGCACAGAGAATGGCCAGTAAATCAGATACAATTCAACAGATCCCTCCCTTGAGCTCTTAGATTATGGGAAAAAAAATTGATAGGATGACCAACTCTAGTCCTGCTATTGCAGTTCAGAAGGGACAAGAAGTATGTGTCTGATTGTGAAGAGATGAATGTCGAGAAGAATTCAACTCCATTCCATATAAATGAATTAAATGTCTGGACAGACCTGCCAGACAGACCTGTGGTGTAGACTTACACTACAAGTATAAACAATGTTTCAAAAAGCGCTGAAACAGTGCAAACATACTGAGAAAGAAAAAGAAAAAAGAAGACAGGAAAGAAAGAAAGAAAAAGAAAGAAAGAAAAGAAAGAGAGAGAAAGAAAGAAGAGAGGGAGGGAGGGAGTGGGGAAGGAAGGAAGGAAGGAAGGAGTATAAAAGCCAGACTGAATGGGAGGGAGGAAGGGAGGGAGAGAAAGAGGGAGGGAGGGAGGGAGGAAGGAAGGAAGGAGCCATCTGAATGGGATGGAGGAAGGAAATTAAGAGAGAACACAAGGAAAGAAAAATTTCATAAGAGTTTTACACTATGGGAATAATATAAAAACCAATTCAGTAAAATAAGAGCTAAAATATGAGATAAACAGAAAAGATGATTTTTAAGGAAAAAAAATCAAAGACCCAAACAAAATCACAGAGGTAACAGATAAATCGGAAATATCTGGAAATGGAGAACACAGCTGATAACAAATTACTGACATTGGGAGAAGCTTAGAATAATCATATTGAATGCATAGGAGAAGGACAAAGAGATTAAAGCCATTGGAAGAAACAGAAAAAATGTATGGGGGGCAAAGGAAACAAGTCAACAGTCCCAGATGCAGAGAATCCAACAAATGAAACAAAGTATTCAAAGCATAATAAAAACCATTTTTTCTTAAAAGAGAACAGAATATTTCGGTCAAAATAAGCATATTTCATTTTAGAAAAAATTAACAGAATAATTAATGCCAAGGCATATTCTGGATAAGTTTTTGAAATTGAAGGATAACATATCTGTCAAGAGCTGTGAGGAGTCTGAGATTTCACCCTACTTGCAAGCTAACAATTTAGCTTGCCACAGATTAATGGATGCTGATAGAAAACACAAAATTTCCAGGTCAGAGTTAAAGAACTTTACTGCTCACAGCACAGCATGCAGCATGAGTGTCAGAATATTTGCATTGGTTCCCCCTATCTCCAAATTTCACAGGGCAACACAATCCATCAGCCCAGGTGGATGCTACACACACAGTGGGTAGGTCTGCATCTCAGATGAGGAGCCCCCAGACAAGGGTCCGGGACTCCTTCATCAAGCAGGAGACAAGCCGGTCCCCCCCCTCTCTGGGGAGTGAGTACGCATCGATAGTGATGTTGTGTTCTCTTTGAACTACTTAGCTGCCTACACGACTGGCTACAGAAACTGCTTGGTGTTAGGGGATGGAGACGCCACGCCATCTGGCACACTCGGCAAGAATGTACAGAGAGGCTCAGGCTCCTTGGTGAACCACCTCTCTCAGAAGTAGCCTCCACACATTGAGGTAGAGCAGGAAATAAAAATACATTTAGTCTCAGACTTCTCCACGGCAATGTATGATGCTAGTGGGTAAGAAACACTATTAAAATTTTTCTCAGGGAAAGAAGATTTTTACTAGCTTAGTTGTGGTTCCCGTGCTACGCAGTAGGTAGATCCTCTAAGAACCCTGGGCTTATAGTGCCACTGAGGTGGAGGAGCGAGGACTTGACCATGAAAGCCACCCATGAACGAAAATGCTGCAGGAAAGAGATTAATACACATTCGGTGCCATGTAATGTAAAACAGAATGTACAGAGGTCAGAAAATAGAGAGTGTCCAATAATTTCCTACCACTATAGTTGTCTGAAGAGTATAAGGGCAATGAATAAATATCCCTTAGAATTCAGAAAATAGTTCATCTCATGATTGTTCTGGAAAAAATACAATCAATTGATAATAAATCCAGCCAAGCAAGTAATAAGTTAAAACAAAGATGATTCATTTTCTATAAACTAATGCTTCAGTAAGGAAACACAGATCTTCAGTACTGACTGTGCCTTTATGGTATGTGTGTTTTCCTGATATTCGCCCCAGTCCTAGTACTGCCACTATTCTCTTTCTGGCAAGAACAAGGGCATTTGTCTACTCCTTTATAACCAAAAAAAGTTATTATGAAAATAAAGCTTTTTCTTGACACTACTTACGATCTCCGCGGCAGAGCAGTGGCCCCAGTGTATAAGCTGCTTCGGAATGTGGTCGGCCTGCGTCTGTCATCACAATCTGAGTGACTGGCAGGTGCTCCTTTTGGGAAAGGACTATTGTGTCACTAGTCCTAAAGAACAACAACCGAAACCATTAAAATTATTCTGATTAACATACGGGCAAAATTAACTCTGATCTCTTATCTCAATTTGAAACCAACATCATAGAGCTTAACAGAATACTTAACATTTTCAATATTTTGAGAGCACAGAGACTACCATGAATCTAAATCAGGGATGGGCAAACACTTTGTGTAAAGGACCATACAGCAAGCTATCTTAGCTCAGCAGGCCATGCAGCTTCTCACAGCAACTACTCAACTCTGCCACCAAAGTGTGAAAGCAGCCACAGACACAGGCATGGCTGGGTTGCAATAAAAATTTATGGATATGAAATCTGAATTTCATACAAGTTTTATAAGACATGAAATATTCTTTTTATTTTTCAACCTTTTAAAAATGTAAAGAAAACATTCTTAGCTCACTGCCATGCAAAAATAGACTAGTGGTCTGGATTTCACCCAAAGCAAGAGGTTATCAACTCCTGACCCGTTTGCCAATTCCTGATCTAAATGATTACAGAGAAGGGGAAAAATCAAGAAGGTAACTTCCCTTCTAAAATTGTCTTAGAATAATATCTAAGTGATTATTCATTACAAATAAAAATAGTAACACTGGATTTAGATATTCATTTTGCAGAATATTAACTTATCATTATTTTCTAAAGTCCTTTTATGATTACTGGGTATTTCTTTCCTTGTTAACTTTGTAAATGCAAAATGAATCCCACAGATTCAAAACCAAATACATACTACACCCTTATAAGTAATACATAGACTAATGAGTGTGAAAGTGGTCTGTGAAACACTGCTCCCAGTAGTTCAGGCAACAAACACAGGCCGGGCACAGTGGCTCATGCCTGTAATCCCAACACTTTAGGAGACTGGGGTGGGCAGATTGCTTGAGCTCTGGAGTTCGAAACCAGCCTGGGCAACATAGTGAGGCCCCGTCTCTACAAAAAATACAAAAATTAGCTGGGTGTGATGGTGCACACCTGTAGTCCCAGCTACATGGGAGGCTGAGGTGGGAGGATCCCTTGAGCCTGGGAGGTAGAGGCTGTAGTGAGCCATGTGTGCGCCACTGCACTCCAGCCTGGGTGGCAAAGTGAGACCTTGTCTCAAAAAATACAAAAAACAAACAAAAAACCCCACACACTCAGCGCTCACCTTTTGTCAAACAGACATTGTCCTGGGAATTGAGGACACAGAGTAAAAAATATATTTTAGTCTCTGCCTTCTGAAAGCACACAGCCTATTGAATACCATGAGTATTAATTATGTGACTGGGAAAATAAATGCACACGTCTGGGTCCAATACAAAGAGACCTGGAGGATCCCCTAGGGGAACCTGGGGTCCTGGTCTTAGCTATGCCACTAATTTTGTCTCTGGCCAAAATAAAGGCATTTGTCTACTCTGCTGCAAAAGTATTTTATTATATATGTGTATGTAACTGTATATGTAATAAATATTTGGCCAATAATAAATATTGCATATATGCATATATAACAAAATGCTTATATTTATATACTTTTGGTTATATTTTATCACATATATGTCTCAACTGCATGTACATTCTGATTTACAGACAAAACACTCTTAGTCCAGTTATGGTTAGAAACTCCACAGTATCTAGTAAATACTGTATTTTTTAAATTGCCCAGTTCTCAAACCTTCTTTTGTATGCATTTGTGGCAAAAGATCACAATAATTGATATTTCATCATTGCAACACTTTTGCATTTTCAAAATAAGGCTTTCTGAATTAAAAAAAATTAAATTGGCATGTCAGAGTTGTACATATACTGGGGGCACATGTGCTATTTTGATACTAGAATACAATGCATAATGATCAAATCAGGATAACTGGGATATCCATCACTTTGAGCAGTTATCCTCTGTGGTGGGAACATTACAATTCTCTTCTGGCTATTTTGAAATATCCAATAAATTACTGTTAACTATAATTTCTCTAGTTCTATCAAATACTAGAATTTCTTTTACTTAACTCGACTTTTGTACCCATTAATCAACTTCTTTTATAAAAGACTTTAGGTATCAAACTTTCAAATTGGAAAATATAAAACTAAAATAAAGTGGCTATATTATTTAAGTTTATTCCCTGAAAAAATACACTTAATGGTAAAGAAAGCTTATTTCTAAAATTCAGACTAAAACCCTGTTGCTTTACCTAGTTAAGATTCTGTTATTCATTTTTATGCAAAGAACAGAATATGGATTATCTAAAGGCATCACCATTCAGCTTTAGAGTGGATTGATGGTAGACAAGCTAGAAATATGTCTCCTGCTGAATGAGGTAGGTCTAGGAAATTTTTTATTAATGTGGTGGTAGCCATTAAAAATTACCATTTCAACTTCTGTGATCATCATTTTAGCAAGATAGTCTAGTAGAGAAAATGCAATTTAATTATTTATGGAGGATGCTTGTATTTTAAAAGATCTATTTCACGGGAGCTCCAAGTTTCATTCCATTTTCAATACTGACTGTGCAAAATATTGAGAATGTGTAAATGAAATCCACATTTCAGTTTAATTAGGGCAGATACTATAATAAAGTCTTGTTTTTTCAATTGTTTTGGAAAGTCTGGTGTTTTCATTCTGAGCATAAAGATAGCCAGTGTTTTTCACCAGTTTCTTATTGTTACAGGCAGATTCCCAACCTTTGGAGATCAAAATAGAATACTCAGGATTTGTCATAGTTATCAGACTTCCTCAAAACTTCCTAATTAATAGGGACATCTCATTTTTCTTTTCTCTCTATTATTTTCTAAAGCTTATACTATAGTCTACACTTGGAAATAGTGCTTTCATAGGTACCATAATCTCTTGCAGCAGTATTAAAAATTCAGTAAGAGAACTTTCAAAGACTTTTTGCTTTTATTTTATATTTTATTAAAATTTTTATTTATTAGAAATTCCTACGGTTCTGGAAATTGTACTTTCCTAGGAAGTGTGAAAACTTCTAAAAGCTACTACTTATTATTTGCCAGGGAACTTTATTTAAGGCAAAGTAGGGCCATAAGTTTGGGAGGTTGCAAAGAAAGCTAAAAGGGAGAAATGTTAAGTCAACTTTTTAACTTTTTTTTTTTCTTTGAGACAGAGTCTCACTCTTGTCGCCCAGGCTGGAGTGCAATGGTGTGATCTCTGCTCACTGCAACCTCCACCCCCAGGATTCAAGCAATTCTCCTGCCTCAGCCTCCAGAGTAGCTGGGATTACAGGCGTGCACCACTATGCTCAGCTAATTTTTGTATTTTTAGTATAGACGGGGTTTCACCATGTTGGTCAGGCTGGTCTCGAACTCCTGACTTCATGATCCGCCCGCCTTGGCCTCCCAAAGTGCTGGGATAACAGGTGTGAGCCACCGCGCCCAGCCCAACTGTTAATGATTATTTTGGGGGAGTAGGTCAGCAATAATAAAATCATTATGATCCACATCTAACACACTTAAAAAATTTCTAGATTCTCAGTTTCTGTTTAATTGCCTATCTTCTGGCCAATTCAACCTGCATTAATTACTACAGCAATACAGTATGTCTTGACAGCTAACAGAACTAGTTTCTTCACTTTATTTTTCATCTTAAAAATTATCTTGCTTATCCTTTCATCCTTAATTTCCATATGAATTTTAAAACCAGGTTGCTGCAATCCACACAAGTAAAACCACTTGGCATTTTTTGGAATTTTGTTAAAATTACAGACTAATTTGATGAGAATGTCAACTTTAAAAGAGGGTATCTCAACAGCAGCGTTACTGATATTTTGGGCTAATTTTTTTTTGTTATGGGGGGGCTGTCCTGTGCACTGTAGGATGCTTAGCAGCACCCTGATTTCTAATTAATAGACACTAATATAAACAACCTTCCTCTCTGTGTGATGACAAAAATGTCTTCAGACAATGCCAAATGTCCCAAGAGTCGAAATCACCCCCGATTGAGAACTACTGCTTTAAGATACTGAGTCATACTATCCACGACAGTAGTGAGTCAATCCATTTATTTGGCTGTCCTTAATTCTCTTGAATAAGTTTTGTAATTTTGTAATTTTTTCCATAAAAGTACTGCAGTTATTCCACAGAACTCTACATTTTTGTTAATATTGCAAATAAAATTTTTCTAGGTGTGTAATGGTAATTATTTTAAGATTTTATAGAAATTCAAGTAATTCCTCAATACTGACTGACCATAAATTCAGCAAACTTACTGAACTCTCATTTTTCCTGATATTTCTTTATATTATTTTGGATTTTCTATGTAGGCAATCATATTATCTACAATATCTGCCAGGTTTGTTTCTTTTCCAAACTTTTTATCACTTACATCTATTTTATTTCCTCTTGTGTCTTTAACTGACACACGCATGAACTTTTAAAAATTATATATTCATTATTGATTACAGTTAAGAATATAGTTTCCATCATGACAATTCCATAAAATTTGTTAAGATTCCATCCATTTACAAAATTTTTTATACTTATTCAACAATAATGTATAATACATTCTATAAAGAAATAATTTTTCCTTACTAAACGATATATGGCTGCTATATCAAGTTTGTTAATTATAATATTAAAATATTCTTACCTGCTTCACTTACTCATTCCCAAAAATGTTATGTTAATTATTCCACTGTTTTGGGTGTCAATTTGCCTTTGCATATTTGTTAATTCTCTCTCTCTATATATATACACACACACATATATATACACACACACATATATATACACACATATATATACACATATACACACACACACACACACACACACACACATATATATATATACACACACATACTTTTTTTTTTTTTTTTTTTTGAGACAGAGTCTTGGTCTGTCGCCCAGGCTGGAGTGCAGTGGTGTGATCTTGGCTCACTGTAAGCTCCGCCTTCCAGGTTCACGCCATTCTCCTGCCTCAGCCTCCCGAGTAGCTGGGACTACAGGCGCCCACCACCATGCCTGGCTAATATTTTTTGTATTTTTAGTAGAGACGGGGTTGCACCTGTGTTAGCCAGGATGGTCTCGATCTTCTGACCTCGTGATCTGCCCGCCTCAGCCTCCCAAAGTGCTGGGATTACAGGCGTGAGCCATGGCGCCCTGCCACTTCTTTACATATTTTAAACAATCTGATGATACACACAAGTGTAGTGAGATCTTTCTAGTGAGTTTATCTCAGCATTAGATAGAGTTCAAGTTTATCCCTAACAATGCTTTTCATCTTTGTCTGACATAATACAGCTATATCTGCTTTCTTTTGATTTGTATTTACTCGGTAAATATTTTCTATTCTTTTAGTTTCAACTTCACTGAGTGCTTATATTTTATCTTTTGTAAATAAGCTATAGCTTCTTTAAAAATCCAATATGATAAAATCTAATGTCTGGTTTTTAAATGAACAGAGTTTACTCATATTTATTATGATTATTTGTACACTTGTATGCATTTAAACCATCTTATTTTATGCTTTTTTTTGTGGTTACTTTTAAAGACTCTAAGATAATCACACAAAAGTCCTATTTAAATTCTTAAGTAAAATAATATTACAGTTACATGTGTCATCATTATATTAGCAAAACAACTTGTGGATTTTTGCAGACAGCTGAATTATATGTTATATGTATATTTTAGAGAATATATTGGTCTATTTGAACATAGTCCACTATACATTTATACACATATATTGACTTGCAGCATAGTTCAATATTTTAAATCATTATAGTGCCTTTTAAATATATTTGTTTTTATAATAAATCTTTGGCATGTTATAGTTATTTGATAGAATATTCTTACTGTGCCTGAGGAACTGTCTGATCATAAACTTTTTTTTAAGTAATATGCTTTAGACGAGTTGCTGATTACAGGGACAACTTATGGAAAAATGGCGATGGTTTATATTAACAATACTGCCTGCCCCATTAACGGACATATGCCTGAAGAGACTTAAAATAGCTTTCACTTTACTTTCATTCCCAAATACTATTTTTATTATAAACTTTCCACCAGGAAAACCTTACTAGGCACACCTCAGTAATAGAAAATAAGTAATAAAGACTAAGATTTATGTTCTTATGTCTACACCTTAATCTAAATTATTACAATTATAAATCTTTTCATTTCATGAGACTGGTAAATTCCATTTTTATAAACTGAAAAATCAATTTTATTTGAAAAATTAAAATAGAAATTGTAATTTCCCACCCCCCCACCCCCATACACACCCCCACATTTACAAAACAATCTACAAGAGTTGGGATAGGATTTCAGAATGCTTGTGGTCTTACTGTTGGATAGACCTGTCTACTGGAAGCTGCAAAGTAAATAAAATAAGGTTAAAAAGCAAATGACTCCACAATGCTCCCTTCTGAATGTAGGAGGGGAGTTAATTTTTAAAACCTGCTTCTCTCCTAAATTTTTTTCCAAATGAAAGCCCAGGGCTTCTGTCACACCAGTGCAGTCCTTGACGGTGCTGAAGTGACATGGCTAAGGGTATCAGAGGACCTGCACCCACCTCAGTTCCTCCCATTCCCCTCCTCAAACTCAGTTCATGGGAGGGTCACTCAATACAGGTGGCTCCAAGTGATACGTTCCTCTGGTTACTGCCCTAAGCATACGTGAAGTCTACAATAAAGTATGCACTTAATACTAACAGAAGGTTCTGTAACAAAAAAACAAGTTGACCAGCCTGGCCAATAGTGAAACCCAGTCTCTACTAAAAATACAAAAATTAGCCGGGTGTGGCACTCGGCTGTAATCCCAGTTACTCGGGAGGCTGAGGCAGGAGAATCGCTTGAATCCGGGAGGCGCAGGTTGCAGTGAGCTGAGATCGCACCACTGCATTCCAGCCTGGGCGACAGAGAGAGACTCTGTCTCAAAACAAAAACAAAACAAAACGGTTAACATTCTTCGAACTAAGTTATAAAGCCACTAGCATATATGCCATTCTGGCTTTCTTGTAATAACCTGCCAATGCTCTCCTCTCTGACCTGTAGAGAATGGGGGTGGGGACAGACCAATGAGCTGGAGGTCTTCTGAACAGCCAGGAGCTGGAGGGCTGGAGCCCTCACAGGCAGGAGCCCCTTGTGGAATGGAGGAAATGAAAACCTCTAGGATTGTTAAAGATGTCCGTCAAAAGATTTGAAGGTCGCTGTTTGTCTCATTAGAGCCCAAAGCTAACACACATCATCACATTATCATACCAGACACTTTAAAATGTACATCATACAAAATATTGTACAAAACCATTTTAACTCATGGGAAATTACTTCAGACCTGAAACTTACTGGTGGTCAGATTTGAAACTATGGATCAGATCTGTTCCTGTTACTCACTGCACTAAAACTGCATTCATTTTTAAGTAAGAGAAAGTTGTATTAAGATTGCATATCAAAATATTCAAAAAGAGTGTCTCATAAATCTGTATGATCATTTCGTAATTTTGAACTTGAGGAAGATTAAAAATAATATCCATGTAAATGTATAGTATGTATTCTATAGAAAGCTCCAGTAGATTCAAGTGAGTTTTCCCAACTTCACAATATTTTTTAAAGTGATGCAAAGTAGACTTTTTATGCCAGATAAATAAGTGGACTACCATGCAGGCCAAACAACTCCATTTTTAGGAATCAAATTACTGCTTAGATTAGCTATTTTATGTCCAAATCAATTATACTGACACCTGGATTGACCATTACATTTTTTATTTATTAATTATTATTATTATTATTATTTTGAGGTGGAGTCTTGCTCTGTCGCCCAGGCTGGAGTGCAGTGGCGCGATCTCGGCTCACTGCAACCTCTACCTCCTGGGTTAAGCAATTCTCCTGTCTCACCCTCCTGAGCAGCTGGGACTACAGGCACACACAGCCACACCCGGCTAATTTTTGTATTTTCAGTGGATACGGGGTTTTGCCACATTGGCCAGGCTGGTCTCAACCTTCTGACCTCAGGTGATCCACCTGCCTTGGCCTCCCAAAGTGCTGTGATTACAGGCGTGAGCCACAGTGCCTGGCCTAAGTTTTTTTTTAAAGCACGTACTCTACATGATCTAGTTGTTTTATGACAATGCTTTTTAAGTTGCTGACATGAACCCAAAGGTTGAAAACATTTACATATTACAAATAAAAAAAAGAAAACCAATATGCATTTCAAGAGTAACCTCAAAAAGAACTTCTGAAAAAAAGGCATTGCAATCTACATGAGAAAACTGTTTCTGCTCAAAGGAAAGCTTACAAAATAATTTTCAAATTCCAGAAAGTCTATGTTAGTTGTTTCAAAGTATGGTCTACAGAACAGTTGGTGCTTGAAGCTTTGCTATTGCACTGAAGATTTCAATGAGTGTGGGAAATTGTTGCTTCTACAAAATAAACACAGTCCTTTTATGCAGGACCTCTCAGAGTTTCTTGTGTTAATGTTAATTTCTAAAAGAAAGATAGAATATGCAGCATTATATCCCAAATCAATTTAAGACAAAGATTTGGAGGAATTTGCTTTTTGAATTGCCACATGAATACTACGTTAATTAATTAACTAAACTTCGCAGAGAATGATATTTGATTTCCAGTGAGTGGAAAACTTAACAGCTGTTTCTCTTTTACGAAAAATAAAAAACACATTATATAGTATTCACAACGAACTAGTAAATCTTTGGTCATAAAATTTAATCCTTAGATTAACTGATCATATTTCATCAAAACTTGTATTTCAGCTTGCTTGAACATACTTTAGTTACCTTATTGTACCAGCTTGTCTGACATTTAATTAACTATGCATAATTAAAGAATAAAAACCACATTTTTGTGCAGGGAAATCATGTGGAAATCACCATTCATTTCGGCCAGCATCACAGTTGCAGTAATACTGAGAATCAATGCAGTTCCCCTCTAATCCACAAGTACACTTTTGAGCATCAGGCAGAGAACCTCCCCAGTAGGTGTGTGTTTCATTGGTTCTTCCAACCCACCAGCTCAGTGGGGTTCCATCTGAAAGACAAGTATAAGAAACATGACATCTACTTTGTCCCTCACTACCACCCTCCCCATATAGCTCCCTTTACTCCCAGGTGTAAAGTGTATGTGTGAGAGACAGAGAGAGAGAAAATGAAACTATACTTAAACACTTGTATTTTACCTCTGAAACGTTTATTTAAGCCTAACCAATGTTTTTCCCCCAATATTTCAATATCTAGGCTTAAATGATTCCATCTATTTTTCTTCTATTAGAAATCAGTCAGTTGCATGTGATACATACTTTCTATAGAAATAACATTCAAAAAAATTCACCATTAAAATAAATACCAGAGTAATTTGCACACTAAAGATAAAATCTATTTGAAATTATGAAATGTTCATTGAGAAAGTTTAATATTATACAAAGACATTGATTTATCTCATCCCATCTTTTTGCTAACTACCTGTATATTACACATTTGGAAAGATATGGTACTCTCTGTCAGTACTTACTAATTTTTGGAGGTATTTGTTTTTATTGCATTGGATGTCCTGACTCTTTATTTGGAGGTTAAGGAATGACATTGATAGGCTTTTCTCATCTCTGAGGTTAGAGATTTCTCATGCGAAGAAACAAAGTGCCCTGGGTCAACTACAGCTCTGACGAGTGCACCTCCTTCTCAGCACTGACAATGATTAAATGATAGAGTCAGACACTAACTCAGATCTATAGAACTGCATATTAGGACAAGGGATGCTGCCAGGGGTTGGGAGTGAAGATTGGGGTGATGGACTGACTGCACATCACAGTAAAGTTAGGATAATTTAAAAAGCAGGTGTCAGGCCACCTATCTTAAAAAAGGAAGGGGGTCAGGGGCCACAAGTTGCAGTCATCACAGATGAGGCCATGAGGAAAATGAAATTGGATTAACTCAACCAGTTTTTTAAACATGCTTGATCATGTGGTGCTGTTTTTCAAATTTCAATAGGTTGTTACCATTGGAATATGAATTGAGATCTGGAACTTAGCTTCTACCTTACTGCTTATTACAACTCAATTATAACTCATCCATAGATAAGATCTCTGCATTCATTACCACCACCACTATCCATCACCTGCCCCTCTGCCAAAAAAAAAAAAAAAAAAAAAAAAAGGCAATCTGGGAAAATTTAAAGAGGAATTAGTACCAGGAATCTTTTAAAAATGTGCTAAAACCTTGTCACTACAACGTAAAAGATATTTTTAAAAATTAATACACTCTTCTCGGAATGCCACTTTAAAAGTTACCGACTTCACCATTAAACTGTCGCAGATTAAAGAGCAAAACACTCACTATATCCTAATGTACAAGTGTAAATTTACACCTAAATCTCCCATATTCCCCATAAAGTAGTAAAAATGTATTTTTTTTAGAAACAGTAGCAAAAAGATGTAAGTGGGTGAACTTCTACACTGATAAAAGATCTTGTAGACTTGTCTATCCCTGCTATTTCCACCAAGTATAATGATAGATTCTGGAAATAATACAGAAGACAACCGAAGAGAATTCTGAAAGGTAGAAAGAGGAAGCTTAGGACCCCAGGACTGGAAGATACAATAACATAACTTTTTAAAAAACTTTGAATGGGCTCAAGAATAGAGTGAAAAGACAGAGGACAGAATCACTGAACTTGAGGACCCATCAATAGGCTTTATCTAACCTGACCAAAAAAGAGAAAACAGACTGAATATAAAAAGAACTGAGCCATAGGGTCCTATCAGACAATATCATCCGAATCTCAAAAAGAGAGAAGAAAGTGTGCTGAAAGAGTACTGAAAAAATACTGGCTGTAAACTTCCCACATGTGGTGAAAGACACAAACCCAGAGATTTAGGAAGTAAAGTTTAAGTCCAAAAAAGGATAAACCCAAAAATATCGACACCAAGATCCATCATAATTGAACTTTTTGGAAACAAAACAAAACAGAAATCTTGAAAGCAGCCTGAGAGAATAACACATTACCTGCCTGTAAAAGAACCCTAATTTGAATGATAGTAGATTACTCATCTGAAATTACAGAACCAGAAGGAATGGCATATTTTTTTCAGGGCTGATAGAAAAGAATTGTCAACTATAAATTATATATCCAGAGAAACTATCCTTCAAGAATAAAATGGAAATAAAACCTTTTTAGGCCGGGTGCGGTGGCTCACGCCTGTAATCCCAGCACTTTCGGAGGCCGAGGCGGGCGGATCACGAGGTCAGATCGAGACCATCCTGGCTAACACGGTGAAACCCCGTCTCTACAAAAAATACAAAAAATAGACGAGCGTAGTGGCGGGAGCCTGTAGTCCCAGCTACTCAGGAGGCTGAGGCAGGAGAATGGCGTGAACCCGGGAGGCGGAGCTTGCAGTGAGCCGAGATTGTGCCACTGCACTCCAACCTGGGCGACAGAGTGAGATTCCATCTCCAAAACAATAACAACAACAAAAAACCTTTTTAACACAAAAGAAAACTAAAATAATTTGTCGCTAGCAGACATTCCCTAAAGAATGGCTAAAGGAGGTTTTTCAAAAAGAAAGGAAAATATAACAAAGGATTCTTGGAACATCAGGAAAAAAATGAAAAGAGAAGAAATATGGATAAATGTAATAGACTATCCTTATCAATTTTTGAAATGACATATGATAATTGACACAAAAATTGTAATACCATATGATACTCAAGACAATGATATTTAGAAGTGGGGAAGATAAAGGACCCAAATAGACATAAGGATTACATATTTCATTATGAGAGTGAAGATATTTAAGTTGACTGTGGTAAGTCACATATGTAAACTATAATACCAAGCAACGAGTAAGAAAATTATAAAAATTACCTTAAATGTAAATGGTTAAAATATAACAAAAGTTAGACGTTGGCAGAATCAACTGAAAAAAAAATAACACAACGAGAAATTTATAAGAAACTCACTTCAAAATAAACATAGGCAGGTTAAAAGTAAAAGGATGGAAAAAATACACTCTGCAAAAATTAAATTTGAAAGAAAGCAGAATGGCTATCTCATAAAATAGACTTCAGAACAAAAATACTAGAACAGGGACATTACATAATGATTTAAAAAAAATCACCAGGAAGACATAAATGTATATGCAAGAAACAATACACCCTTAAAAAAATGAGGCAAAAATTGAGACTTCTGGTTTCCAATCTGATATGACGTTAAGAGTCTGGAAGTCATCACTCCCATTCTCACAACAAGAAAAAAGCTGCACTAACTAAAAATAAACAGTTCTTCTTACACAGTTAAAGTCATAGGGCAAACATTACTCCTAAAGCTGCAGAGACAAGTGAAAACAGCATCACAGCTAATGGAGCCAAAGCAGATGGTGGAGTCTGGTAAAAGCACTTAGAATGTAACTGACTAATTGATGGATACTGAGCAAGGACAAGCTACAGAGATTGAAAACTCCTAGAGTGGGGGATAGGCCTTAGAGGGTCAACACACCTTCAAGAGTTTTATCTCCAGGAAGAGCCCCATCAAGTTCTCAGAATAAAGATAGGAAAAAAAATGCTCTTATGTCTCCAGTCCTGGGGTCCTAAGACATAAGGGGAGGGAAGGAGAAAACATTTTTGAAATAAGCGCAGAACATTATGTTCTCTCCTTAACAACATTCTAATCCCCCAAAAAGCTAGTTTACTAGAGCCTAAACCACCTAGGGGAATGGAAATACCCAGCACCAGCCCCCTCTACCCTTCTTTTCTTACCCAAGGGAAGGGGAAGGAAGCTGAGAAGCACTCTGAAGGTCACAGTCCAGGAAGACAGGTTCTCTAAAAGACTGACCTAATCCTAACAGTACAGGATGCTTCTGGCCGGGCGCGGTGGCTCACGCCTGTAATCCCAGCACTTTGGGAGGCCAAGGCGGGCAGATCATGAGGTCAGGAGATCGAGACCATCCTGGCTAACATGGTGAAACCCCGTATCTACTAAAAATAGAAAAAAATTAGCCGGGCGTGGTGGCGGGCGCCTGTAGTCCCAGCTACTCGGGAGGTTGAGGCGGGAGAATGACGTGAACCCAGGAGGCGGAGCTTGCAGTGAGCTGAGATGGCGCCACTGCACTCCAGCCTGGGCTACAGAGCGAGACTCTCTCAAAAAAATTAAAATAAAATAAAAACATTAAAAAAAAATGAGTATACGATGCTTCTCCTCTTCCCGCACCTTATCATCAATCACATCAGTACATTACCTGTATAGTAACAGGAGATTAAAAATGAAAGAGCTGTCAATTTTAGACCCTATTTAAGACAGAGTCTCTGGGAAAACTCAAAACGGAAGAAAGAAAAATAAAATAACCTTAGAGGAAATTTTGGCCTCTGACACCACAGTTATGCAAAGAGCAAATTCAGCCTAACTACTAACTAGATAAACATAAAACCTTACATTAAAGGCTTCCTTACCTCAGTTCCTTTGCCAATACAACATGTCTGGCTTTCAACAGAAAATTGCAAGGTATGCTAAAGCCAAACAATACAGTCTTATGAGACAAATCAAGCAAACATGCAGATATGACAGATTTGGAAATATCAGATAAAGAATTTGAAATAATAATCAGTATGCTAAGGGCTCTATGTTGAAAAAGTGGGCAACATGCAAGAAGAGATAGGTACTATAAACAAAGATATGAAATCTCAAAGAATCAGAAGGAAATACAGAGATTAAAAGTAAAAATTGTAGAGTGTCTTTGATGGCCTCATCAAAGTCTGGGAAGACTGGGAAGTGCTGAGGAAAGAATCAGTGAGTTTGAAGATATGTCAATAAAATTTTTCCATTAAACACAAAGAGAAAAAGAATGAAAAATGAAACATAATATCCAAACTGTTGGACAATAATTTTTTTTTTTTTTTTTTTTTGAGATGGAGTCTCTCTCTGTCGCCCAGGCTGGAGTGCAGTGGTGCAATCTCGGCTCACTGCAAGCTCCGCCTCCTGGGTTCATGCCATTCTCCTGCCTCAGCCTCCCGAGTAGCTGGGACTACAGGCGCCCGCCACCACGCCCGGCTAATTTTTTGTATTTTTAGTAGAGACGTGGTTTCCCCGTGGTAGCCAGGATGGTCTGGATCTCCTGAACTTGTGATCCGCCCGCCTCGGCCTCCCAAAGTGCTGGGATTACAGGCAAGTGAGTCACCGCGCCCGACCCTGTTGGACAATTTCAAACGGTGTAACCTATGTAACCCATAATCGGAATACTAGAAGTAGAAGGAAGAGAGTGAGAACCAGAAGAAATATTTAAAATAATGACAGTTGAGAATGTTTCAAAATTAATGACAGACATGAAACCATAGGTTCAGGAATCTCAGCAAACACCAAGCAGGTTAAATACAAAAAAATCCACACCTAGGCATCTCATATTCAAATTGCAAAAAATTGAAGACTTTCTTAAAATTAAAATAAAATCTTTTAAAAATAAAATCTTGAAATAAACCAGAGTAAAATAAAACACCTTACCTACATAGGAGCAAGAATGAGAATTATGCCAGATTTCCCTTAAGGAACCATGCAAGCAAGAAGAAAGTGAAGTGAAATATTTAAACTGTTGAGAGAAAACACACACTAATATAAAATTCTATATCCAGTAAAATTATCCTAAATAGTAAAGTAGAAATAAAGACTTAGATAAACAGAATTGAGGAAATCTTTCTCCAGTAGACCTACCTTGCAAGCCATGTTAATAGAAGTTCCTCAGAGAAAAGAAAAACAATATAGGTCAAAAACACAGAAATACATAAAGAAAGGTAGGAGCATTAGAGAAGAAAAAATTTAAAATAAAATCTAGTGTCTTCTTCTTAATTGATGTAATAGGTAACAGCTCTAAATAATACTAACAATGTATTGGGTGATTATGGCTTATGAATAAGTAAAATGAATGATAATAATGTAATACAAAATAAGACAGAAGGATTGGAAATGCTGTGTTATAAAGTACCAGCACCATTAATGAAGTGGAATAGTGTTGTTTGAAAGTAGATTGTTATAGTGTATATTTCATACTCAAAGGCTACCACTAAAACAATGACCAAGAAATGTAATTAATATTCTAGGAGAAGTGAGGATATGGAATCATATAAAATGCTCAATTAAAACAAAAAATATGACAGGGGAATTCAGGAAAAAAAGAAGAAACAAGGGCAACAAATAAAAAAGAGTTACAATATGGCAAATATTAATCCAAGTATCAATAATCACTTTAAATGTAAACAGTCTAAATATACCAATTAAGAAAGCAATGGCAACAAAAGCCAAAATTGACAAATGGGATCTAATTAAACTAAAGAGGTTCTGCACAGCAAAAGAAACTACCATCAGAGTGAACAGGCAACCTATAGAATGGGAGAAAATTTTTGAAATCTACCCATCTGACAAAGGGCTAATATCCAGAATCTACACAGAACTTAAACAAATTTACAAGAAAAAATCAACCTCATCAAAAAGTGGGTGAAGTATATGAACAGACACTTCTCAAAATAAGACATTTATGCAGCCAACAGACACATGAAAAAATGCTCATCATCACTGGCCATCAGAGAAATGCAAATCAAAACTACAATGAGATACCATTTCACACCAGTTAGAATGATGATCATTAAAAAGTCAGGAAACAACAGGTGCAGGAGAGGATGTGGAGAAATAGGAACACTTTTACACTGTTGGTGGGACTGTAAACTAGTTCAACCATTGTGGAAGACAGTGTTGCGATTCCTCATGGATCTAGAACTAGAAATACCATTTGACCCAGCCATCCCATTACTAGGTATATACCCAAAGGATTATAAATCATGCTGCTATAAAGACACATGCACACATATGTTTACTGAGGCAGTATTCACAATAGCAAAGACTTGGAACCAACCCAAATGTCCATCAATGACAGACTGGATTAAGAAAATGTGGCACATATATACCATGGAATACTATGCAGCCATGAAAAAGGATGAGTTCATGTCCTTTGTAGGGCCATGGATGAAGCTGGAAACCATCATTCTCAGCAAACTACCGCAAGGACAAAAAAACAAACACTGCATGTTCTCACTCATAGGTGGGAATTGAACAATGAGAACACTTGGACACAGGAAGGGGAACATCACACACTGGGGCCTGTCATGGGGTGGGGGGAGAGGGGAGGAATAGCATTAGGAGATATAGCTAATGTAAATGATGAGTTAATGGGTGCAGCACAC
The DNA here is from genome assembly GCF_000001405.40 of Homo sapiens. Classification (NCBI taxonomy): domain Eukaryota; kingdom Metazoa; phylum Chordata; class Mammalia; order Primates; family Hominidae; genus Homo; species Homo sapiens. The sequence continues at coordinate 211,591 of NW_025791789.1, read as the reverse complement.
CAACATGGCACATGGATACATATGTAACAAACCTGCACGTTGTGCACATGTACCCTAGAAATTAAGGTATGATAATAATAAAATAAAAGACTGAGACTGTCAGAGTAAACAACAACAACAAAACCCATGATCCACCTACATGTTGTCTACTGAAATCCTCTTTAAATATAAAATAGCAGGTAGATTTGAAGAGCTAGAGAAAGATATACCATGGTAACACTAACCAAAAAGAAAGCCAGAGTATCTAAATTAATTTTAGACAAAGCCAACTGCAGAGCAAGGAAAATTATCAGAGATGAAAAAGGGTATTACACAATAATAAAGGGGTCAATATAACAAGAAGATATAATAATGCTTAATGTGTATATACCTAGCAACAGAAGAGTCAAAATATATTAGGGGGAAACTGATAGAACTGCAAGGACAGAGAGACACATCCATTATTACCACTGGAGACTTCAACACCCCTCTATGAGTAAGTGACAGACTCAGCAGGAAGAAAATCATTAAGGATAGATTTGAACTGAACAGCACCATCAATCAACTGGATCTAACTGAATACTTTAGAATTCAATTAGCGTTGTAGAATATTTTATCTAGACACTGCAGAATACACATTCTTCTCAAATACAAATGCACAATTCATTAAGTTAAACCACATTCTAGGCCACAGAACACTTTACCAAATTTAAAAGAATAGAAATCACAAAAGGCATGTTCTTGAATTAGAATGGAATTAAACTAATAATAGCAGAAAGAGAGCTGAAATATCCTCAAATACCAAAAAATTTAAAAACACATTTCTAAATAATAAAACATGGTGAAAGAGAAAGTCTCGAGAGAAACAAAATTTTTTAACTAAGCCAGTAATTAATAACCTTCCCAAACAGAAGGTACCAAGCCCAGATGATTCACTGGTGAGTTCTATCAACACTGGAGAAATAAATGATACCAATTTTCCACAATCTGTTGCAGAAAATAGAAGCAGAGTGACTATTTCTTAACTCATTCCATGGGCCAGCATTACCCTAATACCCAAACCAGCAAAACCTTACAAAAAAGTAAACTGCAAACAAATATCTCTCTTGAACATGGATGAAGCAATCCTTAAAAAATATTAGCAAATTGAACCAAACAATTTTTAAAAATGAACACCACAACCAAGTGGGATTTACTCTAGATATGCCTTTAACATTTGAAAATTAATTAATATAGTCCATCAGATCAACAAGCTAAAGAATAAAAATCATATGCTTTCAGTACTTTCTGCTCAATTTTTATGTAAACTTAAAATTGCTAAAAAATATAAAGCCTATTAATATAAGAAAACTGATGGAGCAGAATGGAAAAATAAACAGATCCACAATTATAGTACAGATTTCAAAATGTCTCTCTTAGCAACTGACAGAACTACTGGACAAGAAGTCAGCAAGGATATACAAGATCTGAACAACATAATCAAACAACAGGATCTCACTGAAATACATACAGAATACTCCACTTAAGAATAGCAGAATATACATTTTTTTTTTCAAATGCCGATGAAACATTTACAAGACAGACCATATCCCGGCGAGCCAAACAAACCTCAACATATTTAAAAGAACTAAAATCATACAAAGTATATTCTGTAAGCATAATGGAATCAAACTGGAAATCAATACCAGAAAGAGAAAAAGAAAATCTCTAAACACTTAGAAATTTTTAAAAATACACTTCTAAATAAGCTACAGGTCAAAGAATATGCTTCAAAGAAATTTATTAAAATACTTAAATGAAAATGAAACTACATGAAAAACTAAGTGAAAATGAGAATACAACATATCAAAATATGTGAAATGTAGGTAAAACTGTGTTGATAGGGAAAACGTAGCACTAAATGCCTACATTAGGAAAGAAGAAAGCCCTAAAGCCAATAATGTAAGTTCTTACCTCTAGAAACTAGAAAACAAAATTAACTCATACAAGCTGAAGGAAGGAGATAACAAAGAGAAGAGCAGATTTCAATAGAATTTGAAACAAAAATAATAGAGAAAATCATGAATCGAAAATCTAGTTCTAAAAAACAGTAAGATTGAAAAACTTCTATCAAGACTGACAGAGACAAAAACAGATGAGACAAACTATGAATATGAGAAATTTAAGTGGATATCACTACAGATGCTGGAGACATCAAACAAATAATAAGAAAATACTATAAATAATTCTACACAAATCAACTTGACAATTCAGATTAATGGACAAATTTCTCAAAAAGTACAAACTACCACAATTCACCTAACATTAAATAGGTAATTTAAGTAATTGTAACTATTAAGAAAATTGAATTCATAATTTAAAATTACTGAAAAAAAAATCTCTTGGCCCAGATGGTTTTACGGAGAATTCTTTTTGTTTTGTTTTGTTTTTGGTTTTTATTTTTGAGATGAAATCTCGTTCTGTTGCCCAGGCTGGAGTGCAGTGGTGTGATCTTGGCTCACTGCAACCTCTGCCTCCCAAGTTCAAGCGATTCTCCTGCCTCAGCCTCCTGAGTAGCTGGGATTATAGGTGTGCGCCACCACGCCCAACTAATTTTTGTATTTTTAGTGGAGACGGGGTTTCACCATGTTGGCCAGGCAGGTCTCGAACTCCTGACCTCAAATGATCCATCTGCCTCAGCCTCCCACAGTGCTGGGATCACAGGCGTGAGCCACCCTGCCGGGCCTTACTGGAGAATTCTACCAAATGTTTAAATAAAAATTAAAGTCAATTTTACATAATCTCTTCCAGAAAACAGGAGACTAGAGAATGCTACCAAATTCATTTTATGTAGGCAGTATTGTCCTGATACTGAAACCAGATAAAGACAATATGAAAAAAGAAAACTACATATCAATATCTCTTATGAATTTGAATGCAAAAATATTCAATAAAATATTAATAAATGAAACACATTAGAAATGTATTTTTTAAATTATACATTATGGCAAAATGGGAGTTGCTCTAGTTATGCAAAGCTGATTCAACATATCAACAGACAAAAGAAGAAATATAATATTTTAATACCAATTGACACAGAAAAGACATTTGACAAAAATCCAATGTCCTTTCAAAATAAAAACTGTCAGCCAACCAGGAATAAAAGGGAACTACCTCCACATAACATAGGAAACAAGAATGAATGCTTTTCCCCTAAGACAGGAAACAAGGCAAGGATGTCTGCCCTCACCACTCTAGTTCAACCTAGGATTGAAAGTCTAGCTACTGCAATAAAGCAAGAAAAATAAATTAACTCCCTACAGATTGACGAGGAAGAAATAAAGCTGACTCTACTTGCAGATGACATGATTTTCCATATAGAAAATCCCAAGGAAACTAAAAAAAAATTAAGTTCAAAAAAGAGCTTATAAGATTAGTATGAAACAATCATATTTCATATTCTAACAAGAAACATATGTAAACAAAAATTTAAAGCACAACAGCACTTATAATCAATCAAGAAACTAACTAAATGCCTAAGCATACTTATAAAACATATAATCTCTGGATGCTAAGAATTACAAAATGCTGAGGCAAGAAATCAAAGATCCAAATAAATGGAAAGATATCTCATGTTCATGGATTGGAAGACTCAAAACAGTGAAACACCAATTTTCCCTTCATTGAGCTATTATGTTTAATGTCATTCCCATAAAAATTCTAGCAAGATGTTTGTAGACATAAACAAATTTATTACAAAATTTATACAGAATGAGGCAAGCTACAGACTTACTTAAACAATCTTGAAAAAGAAGAATAAAGCAGGAGGAATAACTCAACCCTGCTATACAGCTACCATGTTCAAGACAGTGTGATATTGGTGGAGGCATATAAATTAATGAAACAGATAAAGAATGCAGAAACAGACCCACCACACAAGTAAGTTCAACCAATTTTTAACAATATTTAAAATGCAATTCAATGCAGGAAGGATAGCCTTTTCAACAAATGGTTCTGGAGCAACTGAACATTCATAGTCAGAGAGAGTGAGAGAGAATCAACTCTCACATCTTATATAAAATGTGTCCCAAAATAGGGCATGGAATTAAAAGTAAAAGGTAAAACTAGAAAACTTTTAGGAAAAAAATTCAAAAATCTTTGGAATTGGAATTTAGGGTTAGGTAAAGAATTTTTAGAATTGACACGATGTGTACAACCCATAAAAGGAAAATATGATAAACTGAATCTCATCAAAATTAAAACTTTTGCTCTAAAAAATTCCAGTTAAGAGTCGATGAATAGGCAAGCAACAGAGTGGGAAAAAATATTTGCAAATCACATATCCAGCAAAGGGCTAGTATCTAGAATGTATAAAGAACTGAAAATTCAACAGTAACAAAACAAATCCAAACAATCCAATTAGAAAATGAACAACAACAAAAACACATTCACAGACATCTATCTCACTGAAAACGATATACAGATGGCAAATAAGCATATAAAACATGCTCAATATTATTAGACATCAGGGAGACACAAATTAAAACCACAATAAAGATATTACTACACAGTTATCAGAATAGCTTAAATAAAAAATAGTCACAACACCAAATGCTGATGAGCATGTGGAGGAAATGAAATCATACACTGTTGGTGGGAATGGTACAACCATTCTAGAAAACAATTTGGCAGCTTTTTATAAAACTAAGTATGCAATTACCATATATGACCCACCAATTGCACTTTGGGGCATTAATTCCAGATAAATGAAAACTGATGTTCACACAAAACCTGTACACAATGTTCATAAAAGCTTTATTCATAATTGCCCCAAACTGTAAACAAACAACCCAGATGCCCTTCAATGAGTGAATAAACTCTGGTATATCCATGCCACCGATTGCTAATCAGCAATGAAAAGGAACAAATTACTGATATACACAATTATGCAAATGAATCTAGAGAGGATTACACAGAGTGAAAAAAACTCAACCACAAAGAGTACATACTATATAATTTCATTTACATAACATTCTTGAAATTTAAAAAAACCCATAGAAATGGAGAACATACTAGTGGTTATTAACGAGCAATAGGAGGAATTCTTTTTTTTTTTTTTTTTTTTTTGAGATGGAACGGAGTCTTGCTCTGTCGCCCAGGCTGGAGTGCAGTGGCGCCATCTCGGCTCACTGCAAGCTCCACCTCCCGGGTTCACGCCATTCTCCTGCCTCAGCCTCCCAAGTAGCTGGGACTACAGGCACCTGCCACCAAGCCTGGCTACTTTTTTGTATTTTTAGTAGAGACGGTGTTTCATCGTGTTAGCCAGGATGGTCTGATTTCCTGACCTCGTGATCCGCCCGCCTCGGCCTCCCGAAGTGTTGGGATTACAGGCATGAGCCACCGTGCCCGGCCAATAGGAGGAATTCTTGTGCTGATGGAAATACTGTGTATCTTGACTGTATGGATGTCAAGATTCCGGCTGTGATATTGCACTATACTTCTACAAGATGTCACCTTGGGGTGGGGGAACTGCTTAACGGCTACTCGGGTTCTCTCTGTTACTTCTCACAAGTGTATGTAAATCTACAATTATCTCAAATTTTTTTTTAAATTATCTTTTCAAAAGAGGAGAAATAGGGAAATTCTCACTGATGGGAGTAGAATATTCCATTTCTTGTGTTATTTTAGCCCCTAGCCCAGTAGTTTCCAAAAGATCACCTGGGGATTTTTTTTTTAAACAATTCCAAAGCCAAGGCTACACTTCATTCAACAGCAATGAACTAACAAATAATTAAGTTTTGTAATGCCAACTTTAAAAAACTGGAGAACTGGGAAGGAGAGTTTCTTACTTACTGAACTTATGTAAGCTATCTCATTTATAAAAGAAACCCCATGAGATCAGTACTACAGGGTCCATTTCATCAAAGAGGAAACAAAGTCTGAGAAAGATTAAGGAATGGCCTAAATTTCCACAGCTGCTAAGTGACAGACTTACCACTTGAACTTCAAACTTTGAATGCAACCAGACCTTTGCTCTTTCTACTAGACCAAATTGGCTGGCAGGCATCCAGGGGAGAGAGGGATCACCCTGGGAAGGGACCCAGATGCCGACTGCACAGGTCTAGCACAGTGGGTAAGATTTAAGAGTGTGAGGGCCGGGCGCGGTGGCTCACGCCTGTAATCCCAACACTTTGGGAGGCTGAGGCGGGCGGATCACCTGAGGTCAGGAGTTCAAGAACAGCCTGACCAACACGGTGAAACCCCGTCTCTACTAAAAATACAAAAATTAGCCGGGCATGGCGGCACCCGCCTGTATTCTCAGCTATTCGGGAGGCTGAGGCAGGAGAATCGCTTGAATCCGGGAGGGGAGGGGGTTGCAGTGAGCAAAGATCGTGCCACTGCACTCCAGCCTGGGTGACAGAGAGGCCAATCCAGGCAGAGGAAATGGTCTGGCATATTCCAGGGGCTGATTGGCCAGACGGATTAGGGAAGGCAATGCAGGTATGGGTTAGTGGATCAGCGCAAACCACCTTCAGATGACAGTCATACACCACTTTCCAACTTAAAGATTTTGTATTGAAAATTAAAGAGTGAAATTTAATTTAAGTGGCTTTATTATGCTACCGACATATACTGTTTTTGTTTTTTTAAGACAAGGTGTTGCTCTGCTGCCCAAGCTGGAGGCAGTGAAGCAATCACAGCTCACTGCAGCCTGGACTTCCTGGGCTCCAGTGATCCTCCCGCCTATATACTATTTGGGATTGCTAAAACTAAAAAAAGAAAGGCAAATTTCAGTATTTAACTATAATTAGCAATAAAGTGCTTTCAAGAAACTATATGGAAACTGTTGGAGAGCAGCGGTGAGTCCTGCAGGGGACTTGTGGGGATTCCGGAAAGGAGGGGGAAGTTGGTCTTTAACTTAGGAGAAGATGGTTTTGATGCAGGCAGAGTTTCCAAAACATTACTTCCATATATGAAGATTAAGGTATACATTTCTCAAGATATAATTTCAAAAAAATGAGACACCCACTGACAAAAGGTTTTAATAACCCTAGTCATTATTTCATCCTAGACCACAGTGAAAGTGGCGGGGCTGAGGAAGGGCATATTCAGTTAATCTAAAGGGAGGAAACAAACGTTCCAGGTAGATTTAGAGGAAGACTTTGACCAGAGTAAGGTGGTTACCGGTTCCCACTGGTCTTCATGAAGAACTGTTAGACCCAGCCTGCCCTACAGCCATTATCTCCTCAGTGTGAACGGAAAGCTAAGGCATAAGTTATCAGCAAAATTTCCCTTGATTAAGAAAGGACAAGTCACTAGTCCTGCATATGAACGCGCTGAACGTCTCTCAATGGTCAGGAAGGCGCTCTTGAATGCTCTTTGGTCCAACCAAGAGCGGGAAGAGAAGGAGAGAGTGGTCAGGGCTTTGAACTAAGAGCCACGGGAGGGACCCTGGCCTTTTCTCCCTCAAACGCATCTCGCAGCCCGAGGGCCGCGCCCCGGCCCCGTGAGCCCCTGTAGCCTCCAGGAGTGGCGCTTACCTCGTGAGTCCGGGCGCCGCGCCGTCCCGCAGCGCAGAGCCAGCCTCTGCTCGCAGCGCTCCGCCAGGTTCACCGCGGACCGCAGCTGCCCCGCGCCCGCTGCGTACGCGAAGGACACAGCCGAGCGCGGGTGCCCGCTGGGGGCACCTCGGAGGGTCACCGCGTCGGGGCCACCGTGCTGCACCACCGTCCACGCGGCGTCTGCTGAGCAGAAACGGGCAAAGGAGAGGCATCACTGGGCGGCAGAGGCCAGCAGCAAGAGGCAAAGCAGACCTGTCTTTTATGTGAATTAACGTTTAATTGAAATTTACATTACTGCATGTTTGCCGCGATTTGAGGAGTTGGACCTGTGTAACAATGTACTGAGCCAGAACTCAGCCTCTAAGAGAAAGCATATTGGAAGAACTGATGACCAAACTTTTGTGACGTCACGCCTAAAAGTGTATCATGTAAGCAATGACTTTTTAGTTGTTAAAACCATTTTTTTATATCAACACAAGCATGGGGCCAAACTGTTACTACCTGGACCTTTATCTTTTTAAACTCATCTGCATTTTCCTCATCTGTATGTGCCTCTATTTCTTTCATTATCGAATAAATTTATAAAAGATACATATTGGGACGATGTGACGCACATACTCACAGGTATGATAGGAAGCAGCTCTATTAAAATAAAGTGGTTTAATTATGTCAGCTTATCCATCAGTGACCAAGCCCAGAGGAATCAGAGGCCTTGAGCTTCTAACAGCACTTTCCAGGCGGTGACCCTGAGCATCTGACTGCCTGCTGACATCATTTCTGATGTATCTCTGTCACTTGATTACTTATATTGTTTTGATGAAATAAAAACAAAATGACTCCACAATCTCAAAAGGGAAGAAGTGCATCTTGAGTTCTTTAGTGTTCCCAAAAATGGACCTCCCACCAGACTTGAAGTCACTTTAATTCTACTATGCTGGTGCTGTCTGGTCCTTTAACCTCTAATAAGATGTATTTAGAATAATGGACATTTTACATAAAAATTTTCCGAACTGGAGAAATGAAGAAACATTCGTATGGGGATTTTTTAAGAACTACGAAACAAAACAATGTGATACATTTTACCTTGAGAAATCACCCTGCCAGCCCTTCACATCTCAGGATTTCTAATGGCTTGGCTGCTAACTGTGCGTAAGACAAATTTCACAGCCTTACTGTTACTTACACACGCCTAACAACAGAGATCAGAGGAAAGAAGGAAAAGAAAACCAGCCATGCTACTGAAATATCTCTTTAGTCACAGAACCCATGGAGAGGAAAGGTGTGATATCCACAAATGAGCCACAAGTACAGAAAAAAATCTGCAAATTTAAATAATGAATGCAATTTTAAATTAAATTATCACTCCACTCACTGTACTCACCAAAGGAGGCTCTAAGTGTGCCTATGGTAATTTCAATTCCATGGGTTCTTCCTTTAATATTGCTCTATTTTTTTTATTTTAGATTTTTTATTTAATTTATTTATTTTTGAGATAAGAGTCTCGCTCTGTTGCCCAGGCTGGAGTGCAGTGGCGCTATCTCAGCTCACTGCAGCCTCTGCCTCCTGGGTTCAAGCAGTTCTCCTGTCTCAGCCTCCCAAGTAGCTGGGACTACAGGCACACACCACCACACCTGGCTAATTTTTGTATTTTTTTAGTAGAGACGGGGGTTTCACCATGTTGGCCAGGCTGGTCTTGAACTCCCAACCTCAGGTGATCCACCCACCTTGGCCTCCCAAAGTGCTGGGATTACAGGTGTGAGCCACCACGCCTGGCCTCATTTTAGAATTTTTACAACCTGGTGTTACTCTGTGCACATCACCTACTCTCACCTTCAGAGTTTTCCTATCAACTGAATCAAATATAGAAAAACCTATGGAACACTAAGTTGGGCATTGAAGATGATCAACCACATGCCATTTTTGGCCATGTGTTCATGATTTGTTGTACAATGGGAGAGAAATGATGGTCCAGAGTAGTTCACATAGGCCGGTGGGCAGTATGATAGATTTGCAGTCACCCATGGTTAAGATGTGATCACAGAAATGCCCTCAGTACTGAGAAGGGAACTGTTGAGAATACATCTGTAAAACTTGTTTTTCTGAAGAGTAGAATAGTAACCAGGGACATTATAGGCTATGCATTTGTGTTTATAAAATTCCACTTGACTCACTTCTCCTTATAATATCAGTAGTAAAACACCCAAAGAAGGACATAGACCATTTTGGTTTCCTTAATTGCTCATAATTTATTTCAATTGATTATAAGCATATTGGAACTGGAAAGGATCTTAAAGAGCATCTAATATAACCCTTATATTTTTCTTTTTCTTTTTTATTAGAGATAGGGTCTCCCTCTGTTGCCCAGCTTGGAGTGCAGTGGCACCTTCATAGTTTACTGCAGCCTCGACCTCCTGGGCTCAAGTGAATTGGACCTGAGTAGATTAATTATAACAGTGGCTAAATGTGGAAAGGGGTTCAGAGGTGTGGCTGAGTCCGAACACACTGGAGGCTGTCTCACTAGCCCAGAAGGAGGGTAACTGTAACACGTTGATCCCTGTTCCACTCCTGTTGCTCAAATAAATATCCGACTTTGAAAATTAAGCTAATTTAACTTCATGATTTTGATTGGAATTAACAGTACAGATGTTCCTCAATTTATGATGAAGTTGCATCCAGATGAACTTATTATAAATTAAAAATGCACTTTAATACATGTGACCTACTGAACCTAGCTCAACCCAGCCTAACTTAAATGTGCTCAGAACACTTAAATCAGCCTACAGTTGGGCAAAATCATCTAACACAATGCCTATTTTATAATAAAGTGTTGAATATCTCATGTCATTTATTAACTACTGTACTGAGAGTAAAAAAGAAAATAATAATAATGGTTGTGGCCAGGCATGGTGGCTCACGCCTGTAATCCCAGCACTTTGGGAGGCCGAGGCAGGCAGATTACGAGGTCAGGAGATCGAGACCATCCTGGCTAACATGGTAAAACCCTATCTCTACTAAAAATACAAAAAATTAGCCGGGCGTGGTGGCACGTGCCTGTAGTCCCAGCTACCGGGGAGGCCGAGGCAGAAGAATCGCTTGAACCTGGGAGGTGGAGGTTGCAGTGAGCCGAGATCGTGCCACTGTACTCCAGCCTGGGTGACAGAGCAAGCCTCTGTCTCAAAATAATAATAATAATAATAATGATAATAATAATAATAAAAATAATAGTTGTATGGGTACTTGAAATAGGGATGCATATGGTTTCACATAGTGAAGTCGCAATATTGTAAGTAGAACCATTGTAAACGGGGATTGTCTGCACTTAAAATTTACTTAGTATATCATATGAAATCCCCAGCATCTGGTATACCCATTCCTATATGTCCCAGAAGAAGAAAGAAAATAAGATCCACTGTTCTGTTGTCAGGAGCATACATATTAAGGTTATCTCTTTTAGAGAACTGACCCTTTCATTTGTCTGAGAAAATCTTTATTTCTTCACTTTTCAAGGAGAAGGTTTTGTTTTGTTTTGTTTTCTCTCTTTCACACTTTAAGTATCTCACTCCATTCTTGCTGGCATGATTTCTGAAGAGAAGTCGCTGTAATACTTATCTCCTATGTAGGTAAGGTGCTTTCTTCCTCTGATTATTTTTAAGAATTTACTTTTACCTGGCCTGGGCACGGTGGCTCATGCCTGTAATCCCAGCACTTTGGGAGGCTGAGGTGGGTGGATCACCTTAGTTCGGGAGTTCAAGACCAGCTTTACCAACATGGAGAAACCCTGTCTGTACTAAAAATACAAAAATTAGCCAGGCATGGTGTCACATGCCCATAATCCCAGCTACTCAGGAGGCTGAGGCAGGAGAATCACCTGAACCCAGTAGGCGGAGTTGTGGTGAGCCAAGATCGTACCATTGCACTCCAGCCTGGGCAATGAGAGTAAAACTCCATCTCAAAAAAAGGAGTTTACTTTTATCTTTGAATTCTATAGTTTGAAAATATAAGCCTGGTAGAGTTTTGGGGGCATTTCTCCTTCTTTGGTGTTCTCTAAACTTCCTGGATTTGTGGTTTGGTGTCTGATACTAATTTGTGGGAATTCTCAGTCATTATTTCTTCAAATATGCTTCTGTTCCTTTCTTTCTTTCTTCTCCTAGAATTCTCTTTACACGTATGTTACACCTTTTTTAGTTGTGCCACTGTACTCAGATATTATGTTCTGGGTTTTCTTTTTGCGGGGGGTGGGGTTCAGTCTTTTTTTCTCTTTGCTTTTCAGTTTTGCAAGTTTCTATTGAGGTATCTCTAAGCTTAGGGATTCTTTCCAAAGCTGTGCCTGGTCTACTAATAAGCCCATCAAAGGCATTCTTCATTTCTGTTATGCTGTTTTTGATCTCTAGCACTCCTTTTTGCTTCTTAGAATTTCCATCTTGCTGCTTACATTGTTCATCTGGTCTTGCATGCTATCTATTTTATCCATTACAGCTTTTTCCATATTAATTATAGTTGTTTAAAGTCCTGGTCTGATAATTCCAATGTCCCTGCCATATCTGACTCTGGTTTTTGTTTGTTTTGTTTTTTGGTTTTTTTGAGACAAAGTCTTGCTCTGTCACCCAGGCTGGAGTTCAGTGGCATGATCTCAGCTCACTGCATGCTCCGCCTCCCGGATTCATGCCATTCTTCTGCCTCAGCCTCCCGAGTAGCTGGGACTACAGGCACCCGCCACTATGCCCAGCTAATTTTTTTTGTATTTTTAGTAGAGACAGGGTTTCACCGTGTTAGCCAGGATGGTCTCGATCTCCTGACCTCGTGATCCACCTGCCTCAGCCTCCCACAGTGCTGGGATTACAGGCGTGAGCCACCGTCTGTTTTTAATGCTTGCTCTGTCTCTTCAAAGTGTGTTTTTTGCCTTGAACTTTTTTCTTTTTCTTTTTTTGGAGACAAGGTCTTTCTCTGTTGCCCAGGCTAGAGTGCAGTGGTGTGACCATGGCTCACTGCAGTCTCCAACTCCCAGGCTCAAGCGATCCTCCCACCTCAGCCTCCCAAGTAGCTGGGACTACAGATACATGTCACCATGCTGTTTTGTTGTTGTTGTTGTTGTCACAATGCTGTTTTGTTGTTGTTTTTGTTGTTGTTGTTGCAGAGGTGGGGGTCTCACTGTGTTGCCCAGACTGGTCTTAAAACTGGTCTCAGGCTATCTTCCCTCCTCAGCTTCTCAAAAAGTAATAGGATTATAGGTCCAGCTGAAATTTTTTCTTGATAACCAGATGTGATGTACCAGGTAAAAGTAACTGTAACTGCTGTAAAGAGGCCTGCAGTACTATAAGTAACATGTGTGGGAAGGGGAAAGGTTCTATAGCCCTGTGATTAGGTCTGAGTCCTTTAGGGAGCCTTAGCCTCTGGGCTGTGACCTTCACAAGAGCTTCTCAGCCCTCCCTTCCCATCACCACCCTTACTTGGGGACAGGATGGCCAGAGGTGGGTAATTTCCTTCCTCCAGGCAGGTTAGGCTCTGAAAACAAAAAACAAAACAAAACAAAACAAAACAAGAAAACAAAACACCAGTAGCTTAGGTGAAATATTTGCCCTTGAGGAAAGACCTTGTTAAGAAGAACAGAAAGCTTTGGTGTACTTCAAGACGGTTCCTTTTCACCTTCCCTTTCTGGAAGCATGAGGAGATTTTTCTCCAACATTCACTGTGAGAACCTGGTCAAGCTAGGTGTCAAACTCACAGAAGTGTGGGGACCCTTCTCTGTCTGGGTCTTCCTGGAGTTTTTAACTCTCAGATGTGTCCACATCGAACATCCAACAATTCGTCAATTAAGTTTAGGTTTTCCTACCTTGACAACGGTTTCCCCAAAGGTTAGTGCTTGTGGAAGAAAATTGTCATTCTGTATATAAGCCTGCCTGTCTCTCCAATTTTGAGGGGCAGTGGTTTGTTCTGTGACCTCACTTCTCTGCTGGATCTAAAAAAATTGGTTGATTTTTCAGTTTGCCTGGCTTTTTACTTGTTCTTAAGACAGAGTGCTGACTTCCAAGCTCTGAAGCAACTGCTTTTTGAAGGTTATTACCATATATACATTTCAAGCTATTAGAGTAGTTTGAAATTGCACATTTTATAATCATTATTGCTTGATTTGTACAACTAGAGAATTTATTACTGGCTATAGCGCAATGGGGCATCTAAAGAGAAGGTGACATTTTCTAGGGCAGAAAAGAGACCAGAGTTTAGTGATTCCCCTATCATTAGCTAGATTTTGTCAGTAGATACTTCCCTAACCAACTTTTCTGAGCCTTGGTTTCCTCATCTTAAAATGATGACAACCAAGGTCCTTCCTGGTTGTGACTTTGGTTGAGTCTTTTGATATCCACCAAGACCATTTTTATGGGATTTCTCACTTTGCTTTCATTGTTTGAGTCAGGGGATTTTGGAGGTAATTGGTATCTTATGGCAGAACGCCTGTGTTTCTTTATCTTCAGCACATTGCTGTGCAGGTGGCTCTGAATCTTCTGAACGTCCCCTGTAAAGTTTTACTACTTTTTGGCAATCTTTGCTAAGGCACTTTAAATGCCCATGTAATTTCAGTTATTTGTTTCTTTTTCCTTGATGCTTGCTGACCCATTTGGTTATTGTCCAAATTTATGAAACTTTTGAAACCTTTTGTCAGCACAATAAATGAGAACAGTTTATTCCAGATTTCCACTTTGCAGAGAGTTGGAAGAGCTAGGTGACAACAAATTTCTGTAAAAATGTAACTATTTAAAAGGCATTCTAGTGCAATCTTCTATAATCAAGCTGTGTTCATTTCTTTTTTTCCTTTTTTTTTTTTTTGAGATGCAGTCTTGCTCTGTCGCCAGGCTGGAGTGCAATGGCGCAACCTTGGCTCACTGCAACCTCTGCCTCCCTGGTTCAAGGGATTCTCCTGCCTCAGCCTCCCAAGTAGCTGGGACTACAGGCGCGGGTGCCACCATGCCCAGCTAATTTTTGTATTTTTAGTAGAGATGGGGTTTCACCACGTTGGCCAGGATGGTCTCAATCTCTGGATCTCGTGATCTGCCCGCCTTGGCCTCCCAAAGTGCTGAGATTACAGGCGTGAGCCACCATGCCCAGCCCAAGCAGTGTTCATTTCTAATATCTAAAGCACGAGAAATAATCAAGTTTCTTTGGTTATGAAAAAATTATATGCCATAAAAATCACTAAATTATTTAAGATGCACATAGAACATTAACATATCTATGTTATTTCTTAGCACTTTTAAAGACCTCTGTTTTTTCTAAATACAGAAAGCATGTAAATTACCGAATCAGAGGTTTGTATTTTTCATGATGCACATGAACAGATGTATTACGAAGAGTGTAGGAGCTAGAGAGATGCCTTGGCAGAGCACTGAATCTTTCCTATAATCCAACCCAGGCAAACAAGAAATACAAGAAAATTTTGTTGACAACAAAATTAATAAATATATATTTAATGCTTCTACTTAGCAAGTACACACTATCAAACTGCATGTTTTAATAATGCTGCCAACTAGGTAAATTTCTCCTTGGTCTATTCTGATATATGCATATAACGATTATCAACATACCTGTCATATTGCAGTACACAAGAAATGGTCCCAGGGGGCCACTTCCATCTGCATCAATATAGTAAAGCCCAGACGGGTTCCCTCGGTGCTTGTGGGCTTCACAAGACTGCTCGTAGAGAGCTGTAGGAGAACACCAGCCATAAGAACCAGAAAAAATATCTCCAGATGTTGAGTCAGTGTCCAAAGGTTTGCATTTCTGAATTACAGACATGTGATACATATGACCCAACATCATTTTGATAGTGTATGACAGTATATTTGATGAGATGCAAAAAAATGACATTAAAAAAATTAAATCTATTTTTATTAACAAAGGAGAAAAAAATTACCTAGTCAAAATACATTCAAATGTTGGATGTTGTTAGATGCTGAATAAATATTTGGTCACAGTGTATTTCTATTTTGAGGAAGAAGGAAAGATTGTGTTGGTGTTCAAACATGAAGATGTGCTTACAGTGGGAATGCGATACTATCTTCAATAGACAATCTTTTGGCAATGTCTAGAGACTGTAGTTTCTCTACATAAATGTTTTCTTTTGCTTTTAGGCAAGAAAGCATGCAAACTCTGAAGCACAGTGTAAAACACTTGAAGAGATATGAGAGGAAAACTTTGTGAATCTGAATTCTGCGTGCTATTGAAACATGGTTCTTTTCAAACTCATGGCAACTATACCTCAGAATTAAACTCTATAATTAAGGAAGAAACCCTCATTCACCCTGTAATAACTGAATACCTGAGCACATTAAACTGCCTAAATAATCTGGTATTTTCCCATAAGCATTCTGTAAAGTTTTTCTTAAGCTATGCGGCAGTTATACCCTTTGCTTCCTTTAAAACAATATGAATGAGCATTTTAAAGAGATAAATAGAATTTATAAGCTATCAACATCTCATCATTAAAAAATAATTAAAGCTGATTTAAAAAAGAAACTTCCCTAAGTATTTTGCAAGTGACAATTCAAGACAGCTGAAATTCAAAACAGGAGAGAAACTTTTTTGAAAGATATCCCTATATAATGTAAATTTACTCTAGCATAATTGAATATTTTCATTTGTGCAAGCAAATGTTTTACCAAGTACAAGGTATGGAATTAATATCTGCAGGAGATGGACATTGCTAATCTTTATTTTTTTGCCATTTATGGCATATTGATTTAAATAGATACATATATTTGTATATGTCTGGTAGGATTCACTCAAATTAATAACAATACTTAAATATAGGGCACAGACTAGGTTTGGAATGGAGACAAATATTGAGGAAAGTGACTAGAATTTGTGCTTTATGTGAATTTTTTGGCTTTTTAAATGATAATGTACACATGTATTAATGTATAGTATATATCAATTGAATACAATTAATGAGTTATATACAATTAATAATTATATACAATTAATTAGTTGCACATAATTGATACATGTTATACAATTAGAAATACAAAATAACCTATTCAACTAGGTGTGGCAGTCTAGTCTCACAGTGAATGACTGTGGACTTGGCAAATTTCTACCTATAGCCGTCAACTATTAGATGAGACTGACACTTGAAATACTTTTTCAATCTCCTGATATTTTCCCTCAGAAGTTTTTGGAGTTATATTTTGATTGCAGTGAATAACCATGGACTAATATAACTCATTGATTAATTGCAACATTAAATGCAATCAGATGATGCTGAGTGTGGTGGTGGATATAAATTTGCCAGGTAACACACAAGATTAGGCTTCTGCTTTTAGGTAAGATACTATGCCTGGAGGATGAAAGATACACAGAAGTAAAAGATGTACTCCCTGCACCAACTCTATGACCTTATCAAGACATTCAACCTCTGGTGTGAGAGGCCACTCAACTCCTAGAAAATGTGTCACAGCGGCTGGGCATGGTGGCTCATGCCTGTAATCCCAGCACTTTGGAAGTCCAAGGCAGGTGGATCACAAGGTCAGGAGATCGAGACCATCCCGGCTAACATGGCAAAACCCCGTCTCTACTAAAAATACAAAAAATTAGCCAGGTGTGGTGGTGGGCTCCTGTAGTCCCAGCTACTCGGGAGGCTGAGGCAGGAGAATGGCGTGAACCCGGGAGGCAGAACTTGCAGTGAGCTGAGATCATGCCACTGGGCTCCAGCCTGGGCGACAGAGCAAGACTCCGTCTCAAAAAAAAAAAAAAAAGAAAATGTGTCACGGCTTTATAAACAGGGACCCTTCTAGTACAAAAATCATACTTCATGCTTCAATCTGTGAGAGTCACTCCTGGACTGTCTCCTCTTTTGCCCAGATCCTTTACAGAACCTCAGGACTGGGAGCGCAGAATTCTCATTCCATGTATGAACTGTGGTTTTAACACTCCACAGCCTGCCTTTCTCCTGTGGCTTTTGTGAAAATCAAATGTCTCACGGAAGAGTTCTTAAAAGTTTCAATTAGGAACTCAGGATGAGCAAGTGGAACTGAGGACTTTGCATCTCTGTTTCCTTGAAGACCCAGGGATGGGCGAAATATTCCTGAGGAGAAGTTGCTCAGAAACGTCAGTAGAGATATACAGAAAGAAAACTTTAAAAGTTAAAAACAAATAGGAAAAAAAAGGCTTTTCAGATTCTGTGATGTTCTAATTATAACAGGTTAGAGGTCAATAAAATGGCATGGCCTTTGAAATTCACAGAGGGTGATTCTTCAGTAAAGACAGATGATTTTTAATATGGCAGAGGCAGTTGAGAAGTGTTAGAATATGCCATCCCTTAGACATTGTTCTTACACTTAAATGTCTACCAGAAGCATGAGGAAGGTTGGTTACAAGAGACTCGGGGCCCCATCTCCAGCGATTCTGATTTAGTAAGTTTGGGTAAGGCCTGAGAGTCTTTACTTGCAACAGGCTCCCAGGGGCTGTGGGTGCTGCTGGTGCATGGACCACCAATCAGGCATCCTGGAGCCAAGGCTGTGGAGCCAACCTCCTTAGCTCAACTCCTCATCTTCCCACAAACTAGCTGGGGGCCAAGTTACTTAACCTCTTTCTGTCCTCAACTCTGCAATGAAGATAATAAGAGTACTTTCTTCCTGGAGCTTCTTTAGGGTTAAATGAGTTAATATATGCAAAGCAATAGCAGAGGGCTGACATAAGTACTCAATACATTAATACTTTTACACTTATTCACTTTACAATCATCATCACCACCACCAAAGAAAATCACAGTCATTGTAAGAGATCTTAAAGGTCCTCTAGTTTCTAGCTGATATCCCATTACCTCTTCAAAAATCTTACCATGTACAATCCCATGATTGCATCATCCCAGTGATTGTTAAAAAATCTTTAAATACCTTAAATGTAGCATTGACAGCCTGGCAAGGGGTTGTTTTTCCACCTTTCTTTGACTGAGAAGATTCTCAGAATTAAAAGTATGGTCCAACTCAAGTAATGGAACAAGCTGTTACATCATGCATTTTTAATTTAATTTAGTTTCTACCTTTTACTATATCTGATTCTCCTAGACTTATTTCCCCATTGCTTGCCAGTTTCTTTTTTTCAATCCTATGCGTACCACGTATTTCTGTGCACTGTCTCAACACCTTGTATTAAATAAGGTGGATTAAAAGTAAACTAGAAATTGAGTGCTGAAATATCTCTTCTGATGTGTTTGCATGATTGCAAATATGCAGATACATATAAACAACTAATCAAAATGAAATGACGAAGAGATGCTGACAGAAACGAGAGGGAGGCGTGAGGCTTACAGGAATGGCAGGTCTCGCCCGTATAGCCTGTGCCTAGACAGTCACAGGAGAAGGTGTCCCACGACTGGGAACACTCGCCCCCATGCTCACAGTAGCTGGGCAAGCACCTAAAAGAAAACAGATACAACTGCTGTTTCCCTTTTTCAATCATCAAAAAATAAGTGTCTTACCAAAAACAGGTTAACCAAAAACAGGTTAATGTGAAAGAGCAGCATATGCAAGATAACCCCACATGACGTGATTACTGGGTCTGCCATCAAGGTTCTCTAATTATATTGACAAACTTTAGATAAATATATCCATTAGCATGCAGCTGATTATTAGGTTTCTGAGACAGCTGAATTTTCAACACATTTCTTTTTTTCTTTGTCCCAAGTGACACAATAACTTGACATGTGGCTAGCAAAACCAATTACATACATAAAACTATGAAATATGGCATGCTCCGTTACTATATTGTGGTCATTTTTAAAAGAAAGAAGGGGAAACAGGGAGGAAGATACAGAGGGGAGAAGAAAGAAACAGGAACAGCTTCAGTCACATAGTGACAGAGGTTCAGAAATTTTGAAGAACATTTAATTTAGGTCATCTTGTCACCTTTTAGATTTGCAATAAGCAGTTGGTTATTGCTTTTTAAGCAATCTTAACACTGGTAATATGTCAATATGACCCAAAGCAATCCACAAATTCAATACAATTCTTATTAAAATCCCAATGCCTTTTTTTGCAGAAAACAAAAATCCATCCTAAAATTCATAGGGAACCTCAAGGGACCCTGAACCAGCCAATGTTGAAAAAGAACAGTTGGAGGTCTCACACTTTCAGAATTCTTGGAATCTGCTGCCGCCCACTATAATATTGGGGGCCTAGCATGCCTGCCTCTCAGGATTGTTAGGGGAACAGGGAGCAGGGTACACTATGGAAACTGACCAGCACCTGACACAGAGTGTCACCAAGAGGTAGTGTGACCTTCTGGAGGCCTGGCCTGAATACCATGACCCACCTCTGCCTTGAGCAGGGTTGGATCTCAGCCTCTGGCCGCTGTCTCCCACTGCTGAGTACACAGCTAAGGACCTGGTAAAGAGTGAAGATTCTAAAGGACACTGACCTTCCAGGCCGTGAGGGACATCATAGTCCATGCTGGAGCGGCAGAGGCGGGGAGCACCCAAGTGCCCCTCACCATGGGACCCAGAGAAGTAACAGAAGAGGGGCCGGGAGGTTGTGACAGGCCTCCTGGCTGTGGTGGAAGGACGACCAGCAGAGAACTGGGGTATGAAGTTGACAGAAAGCCCCAGGGGCCTGTATTTGGCCTCGGGAGAGATCCTTTGAGGGGAACCTGAGGGGCTGGGAAGAATCCGCAGCATTCCCTACCCTCCCCATGCCCCCAGCCCCCTATCCTGGCTCTCCAGCACTGCACCACCAGCTCAGGGCCAAGACTTCCATAATTACATGGTGTTAATGAGCATTTAGTCTGCATTCAGAGAAGAGTTAGGGGCCAAGAGAATCACAACTTTTCAAGTATTTCAAAGGCCAAGGCATGGAAAAGCCTGTGTGAACTGATCAGAAGAGGGGGAGCTGGAGCGACAGGCAAGGTTGGCTGGGGTGGGGGCCCACCCTCATACCATTTTTAAAAGAGCAGCTGTTCCTCTTCCCCCACATCCTTCTCCCCCTCCTCCCCTTCCTTCTTAATATAATGGAGCATCTTAAGATCATACCTGACTTGAAGATTCCACAAATTTTAAAAAACATTAAAAACCACTGCTGTTTGGTATCAACAGGGAGAGAATAATTTTAGTTCAAAATATTTGGAAATAAGAACTATTTAAGTGATCTAGAGACTACCAACAAGTATACACTATTTTTCTTCAACTAAACACAACATCAATTGTGAAAAATTTACACGTAGTACAAATAATAGAGGAAGTAGCTAGCATGCAGAAGACCAACAGAGGGGAAGATGGCAGAGGGAGGGCAGGAGTGGGGTCAGCAGCCTGGTCAGCACAGCCAGGTGAGGAGGTGACGGAGGCCTCCCTGCTCAGGGAGCCCCAATTGGAATGCAGCACAGGACTCCATTGGAAGCTCTGCCATGTGGTATACAGGGCAAACCTTAAAAGAGTACAGCAGTCTGATGTAAGAGGTGATTAAGAAGTTAAAACCTATCCTGGCCGGGTGTGGTGGCTCACACCTGTAATCCCAGCACTTTGGGAAGCTGACGCGGGTGGATGACGAGGTCAGGAGATCGAGACCATCCTGGCTAACACGGTGAAACCCCGTCTTTACTAAAAATACAAAAAATTAGCCAGGTGTGGTGGCGGGCGCCTGTAGTTCCAGCTACTCGGGAGGCTGAGGCACGAGAATGGCATGAACCCAGGAGGCGGAGCTTGCAGTGAGCCGAGATCATGCCACTGCACTCCAGCCTGGGCGACAGAGCGAGACTCTGTCTCAAAAAAACAAACAAGCAAACAAACAAACAAACAAACACCTATCCAAACATAAACATCCATTATTTGTGACTCTCATCCAAAGTGCCCATTGCTATTTTTTGTGTAGCTTAAAATTTTGACTAAAAAAGATAACTTCATACCCCTTATCTGTCCCTAAGTAGGATTTTTAGGTCTGGTATTTGAGTAACATATGTTTCTACTTTGTGAATTAGTGATACGGTTTGGCTGTGTCCCCACCCAAATCTCATCTTGAATTGTAGTTCTCATAATTCCCACCGTGTCATGGGAGGGAACCTGTGGGAGGTAACTGAATCATGTGGGCAGATCTTTCTCATGCTGTTCTCATGATAGTGAATAAGTCTCACAAGAGCTGATGGTTTTATAAAGGGGAGTTTCCCTGCACAGGTTCTCTTGCATGCTGCCATGTAAGACGTGTCTTGATTCTCCTTCACCTTCTGCTATCATTGTGAGGCCTCCCCAGCCATGTGGAACTGTGAATCCATTAAGCCTTTTTCTTTATAAATTACCCAGTCTTGGGTATATCTTTATTAGCAGCATGAGAACAGACTAATACAATTAGATTTTTGTTTGTTTGTTTGTTAACAACAACAAAGAAAGGCTGACAGATGCTTACAGGCCTGTTTTCAGGATACTTAAAAGTGAATTTTCAGTATTTTCAGGTTTTCAAAACTTAATGTAAAGGGAACAGCAAAGGTATTTAATTTTAACTCTGTAGAATGTCATTTTGTGTCCCCAAAGTTTTCTAATTTTATTGCTTTATAAAATTCAGGTTTTCAAAATAATCTCAGAGGAGCTAGTCTTCTACGTTACTGACTTTGGGAATGAAATAGTAAATAGCCTTTATTTGTAGCCCTATTTGAAAATAATTTAAAAGTGCTTTCTTAAAACCCTTATCTGCAATGATTATTGTACACATCATGACTGAAGTTTAAGTGTGGCTCACACATACATGCTTAGTTGAGCATGTTTACAAGTAACTTTGGGGTACAATTTGGAGGCCTTTTTAAAATGTGGGATCTTAGAGACCAAGTTAGGCACCAATGTAACTCTTGGGACTTTAAGGTTAAAACAAAACAGCCTATAACAGTAAAAACAATGGTTTTGTACTTTAGGAGCTACATGCACAAAGCAGGCAACATGGATCATCTCTGAAAAGAGGCAGCCTCACGATATATATCTCATAACAGAAACACTGCAAATGGATCATATTTTGTGAGTAATTAACAAGGTATCAAAATAATGTCATACAAGTGAAGAAAATCACACTTGCATCACAGTTGAGCTGACAGCTCTTGTCACTCACAGTGTGGGCCCATGGGACATTACCCCTTAACTCAGAGAGAGCTGAGCTCCCTGGCTAGTTAGCTGAGCAACTTGGGATTATATTAAGTGAGCAAATGGCCAGAAACCTTCCCAACTACCCTTCCCACGACTACAGAGTGGGGTTCTGGAGCTGGTGTTGAGATGTAAATGCAGTCCCAGCTGTGTGCCAAGAATTCAAATCTCAAGGTCAAGAATGAGAGGTACTTGACAAATTCTTGCACTTCATATACTCCTCATCTTTGAATTAATTCATTTTTCCTACAAATCAACAGAATGTTCACAGGGGGAAATTATTCCATGCTGAATAAATACAGTCCATATGAATGAACTTTTCATTTAGTAGTAATTACGTTTTTTTAGTATGTCACTAACTATGAGTTATAAATTAAAACCTGTTTAGCCAGAGAGGATAATTTTACAGTTAATGTTTAAAACAGAATTGACTAACTGAATTTACTCCATGAAGAAGGCAGGTTTTGAAAGTTCTACCAGATGCAGATATAACTTTTTTTTTTTTTTTTTGAGAAGAGTCTGGCTCTGTCACCCAGGCTGGAGTGCAGTGGCACGATCTCATTCACTGCAAGCTCCGCCTCCACGGTTCACGCCATTCTCCTGCCTCAGCCTGCCGAGTAGCTGGAACTACAGGCGCCCGCCACCATGCCTGGCTAATTTTTTGCATTTTTAGTAGAGACGGGGTTTCACCATGTTAGCCAGGATGGTCTCGATCTCCTGACCTCGTGATCCGCTCGCCTCGGCCTCCCAAAGAGCTGGGATTACAGGCGTGAGCCACGGCGCCCGGCCAGATTATCACTTTTTAATTTTTAAATCTGTAGCATTTATTTATTCACTGAAAGTAAATACCAAATGTACTAGGGCAAACTGTATGTAGAAATATTATTTTTCCAGGTGTGACCCTATGATTCTTCTCAGCCAAAATCTTTGTAAAATTATGGCACAGCTAGCATAACTGTGGTTGTAATACTTATTTGAATTAAATGTTTTTCTTGTCTAACCTCCATATTTCATTATGTCCTTCTGCACACATCTTCATCCATCTTTATGATTCAAACTTTTCTAGCAGAAATTACTTTTTATTTTCTCTGCAGAACATGTGGGGTTGGGTGGCTGATGAATAGTAACCTGGCAAATTCCTCTGCCTGGAAAAACATCATCCAACTGATGGGTGTGTGGTTGCAAAAGCGAGCTTGATAACTATTAGCTGAGCAACTTGGGATCATATTAAGGTAAAATTCATAAGGTGTATGTCTTCTAATAAAATACTATCATTTAAAAAATGCTATTTATTCCATTAGAGATGCAGTTTTTGTTTTTGTTTTTTTTTTTGAGACGCAGTCTCGCTCTGTCGCCCAGGCTGGAGTGCAGTGGCGCGATCTCTGCTCACTGCAAGCTCCACCTCCCGGGTTCACGCCATTCTCCTGCCTCAGCCTCCCCAGTAGCTGGGACTACAGGTGGCCGCCACCACGCCTGGCTAATTTTTTTTTTTTTTGTATTTTTAGTAGAGACGGGGTTTCACCATGTTAGCCAGGATGAAGTTGATCTCCTGATCTCGTGATCCGCCCGCCTCAGCCGCATTACAGGTGTGAGCCACCGCGCCCGGCCAAGATGAAGTTTTCTAATCCTCATAGTAATTATGACTATTTCATTCCCTCTCGAAAGATAACAACAACAAAAAAGAGAACGGAATGCCTTTTTCCAGCTCTCTACATTTGCTTTCTTCAACTTTGAAAACAGGCAAGCTAAAGTGACCTAGGATGGCCCTTACCTGTCTGTGATGCCGCAGGAGTCTATCTGGAGGTCCCTGAAACTCCCCAGCGCCCCCTGCTGTACTAAGATGGGATCCACCGCTTTGTCACCAATGGTGATGAGCCTTAGGCAGCCCTGAAACCCTCCCAGGGGGCTTTTACATCCAGAGCCAGAGCTGTTGTCCAGGCAGCCTAAATATGAAGACAAAAATAGGACAAAAGCAACAACTATGACAAAACTATTCCACAGTATTTACTATATGAAGACTGCTGCTCCCGCTTGTTTATGGACATCGGTATGATGCAATGAGCTTCACCATTCATTAGAGAGGTGAGAAAGGGCAAGGTTAGAACTGATCAAATTTAAGATAATACCTGGAATTCAGAATAAGAAATTATGGGGGAAAATTCAGATCTAAAATTCCTATAACAGGAATTATTTCCCAACCAAGTGAAAAGAGGTTTGGCTTCTTTTGTGAAATCTCATCTAAGAAATAATCATGCATTTTAGCATTATGTAGTGTAAGTGAAAAAAATTAAAGTGGAGGTTAAATTAAAATAAATGAAATCATAGGCCAAATTTTATTTAGGATATGCTGTGAAATGTGAAAAATGCTACCTGAAAATATAATTGTGTACTACCATTTATCTAAAATATGTTAAATATCTACCCTATAGGTGTTTTTGTGTGTTGCGATGTATGTATATTTGGGAGTATTTAAAAACGTATTTTTTTATACTGACTGGGTGGAAATACCTAGATTTGCTTTTCTAGTAACACTTTCTTTGGTATTAGGTACTTTAGTCAAATATATAACTAAAGATTAAATTCTAATGTTAACAACAACACAAAAAGTAACAGGACCTAACACACTGTTAGGGTACATAAGGATAAAAATTTGCAGTCCAGAATGTTCTATGAATAGAAAGAGATAAAATAGACATTTGATTATTTCCAATATTAGAAGTTAAATATTAAAAGTTTCACTACAACCGTCAGCTAATTTCACCTAAATTACAAATGGCAATGCTTATGACATCACTTCCCTTTACTATGTGGGCTTGTTTTGTGAAACAAGAACAGTACTTATAAGAAGCAGTGGTGAGTGCCTGACTTTGACGTAAGCAGTATTACTCCACACCAGTCCAAGCATATAGGAAAGTAGTGTCTTGAACTTACTCCCACCCTCTTGAGTTACAATATATAACCTAATAATGGAACTCTAAGTTTGAAAAGTAAGGAAAAGGATGAAAGTACACACTCTAGTTAAAGAAAACACAATAACTGTAAAATCTTTTTATTTAAAGACAACTGTTTGTAGAAAGAGTCATATTAATTCAGAATAAAATCATAAGGCATTTGTCTAAGTCAGGAGTCTGCAAAGGTTTTCTGTAAAACGCAGATAGTAAACACTTTTGGTTTTGTGGGTCACACCTGGTTTCTGTTGCATGTCCTTCTTGTTATAACCCTTTAAAAATACAAAGCAGGGCTGGGCGCGGTGGCTCATGCCTGTAAACCCAGCACTTTGGGAGGCCAAGGCGGGCGGATCATGATGTCAGGAGATCGAGACCATCCTGGCTAATTCGGTGAAACCCCGTCTCTACTAAAAATACAAAAAAAAATTAGCTGGGCGTGGTGGTGGGTGCCTGTAGTCCCAGTTACTCGGGAAACTGAGGCAGGAGAATGGCGTGAACCCAGCAGGCGGAGCTTGCAGTGAGCCGAGATGGCGCCACTGCACTCCAGCCTGGGCAACAGAGCGAGACTTCTTCTCAAATAAAAAAAAATAAATAAATAAAAATACAAAGCAATTATTCATTTCGGCTTATATAATATGCCATAGACCGTGATTTGTCTACCTCTGATCTAAATGAATACTTAATTTTAACATACAAATATGAAAGAGGCACCTCATTTCATAATGGTGTAATGCCAATGACAAGAGAAATTGAATAATTAAATTGTATATTATGAAATTATATAGCTTTTAAAAATTTTATCCTTTGCCTTATTTTAAAAAAGAAGCCTGCTTATATTGATTCTGTAAGTATTGTCTCTTTCAAACTTGTGAGATATAATTTCTTACTTTCTTTTCCCAATCATTCAAATATTAGGTATTAAACCTAATATTGGCATGACACTGAGTCCACGCAAATACCCTTTTCTCCAAAGATTATAGTAAATATACATCAATATTTATCACTAGAGGATTGAGTTTTCTTTACAGTGTTCATTAAAATGAAAAAAATGAAGTATAGAATTTGTACTTATGTGTTTTTCATTGACCTCTCTTTGACCTTATACTGTTAATCACTAGCACAATTTCAAAAAATAGTCAATGAAGATTCCTCTTACTGGAATAAATGAAGCACCCCTCAATGCCTGTACTCTTATTTCCTCCCTGAAAGTTCCATAAAAATTAAATGTTGTGTTTAGATTTCTATTTTAATAACTGAAGCTTTATCTCTTTAACTTTAATATTTTCTGCTTTAGATTTCTAAAGTAAAAGCCTCCCTCATATTTAAGGCTTCTTTTTAGCTTATCGAAACTATACATAACCTCACAGACACTTGGAAGTTTAACATTTAACACCATATTTGTTTAAAAGTTTGAAGACTAAAATCTTTTATATTTTTATATTTACAAAAGAAATATAAGTTTAAATGGTACAGCAGAACCTTCTGAAGAATGGGATAGAGAGTGAACTTTGTATAATTCTACTGCATCTCACTAATCATTAAGAAATAAACACATTAAGTTAAGAATTAAGAGGATTATTAATTCAATAAATATTTTCCAGTAATGAATTATAGGAATATCAACAGTTCTGCTAATCTTTCTTTCACCATGTGGTGTTTCCTGACACATAACTTAGGTTATCTTTTTTTTTTGAGACCTGAGTCTCGTGCTGTTGCCTAGGCTGCAGTGCAGTGGTGTGATCTCTGCTCACTGCAAGCTCCACCACCCAGGTTCACAGCATTCTCCTGCCTCAGCCTCCCGAGTGGCTGGGACTACAGGCACGCGCCACCACACCCTGCTAATTTTTTTTTTTTGTATTTTTTTTCAGTAGAGACGGGGTTTCACCATATTAGCCAGGATGGTCTTGATCTCCTGACCTCGTGATCCACCTGCCTCGGCCTCCCAAAGTGCTGGGATTACAGGTGTAAGCCACAGCGCCCAGCCAGGTTATTCTTAAAAGAAAATGAATTCAATAACTCTGTTAGAAAAAAAAACTAAAATCCAGGTGTCCCGCAAAAAGTTATGAAACTTTCAGGACAAATTCTAATCATAAAGTACTGCATGGATATGAAATCAAACAAATAAAGATATTAAGACCCATGAAAATTTTAGCCCGGTTATTTTAACTTGTGTAAGCATATGAGGTTGGCAAGAAAATTGTCACTGTGTGTTATTGCAGTGACAGACTTCAATGCAATGTTGCCACAAGTTCTCAGTCTAGCAGCTTCCTACAAGAAGGATGTGAGGACTGGCGACACAACAGTCAATTTTGTATTCTCAATATCATGGAAGGAGGCATGGCATTGAATAGCAGAAAGATTCCATAAAGGTAAGTTTAAAAGAATTTGACCTTCAGTCAATCTCTATTTCAGGCATGAATGCAAAAAAATGCAGGCTATATGCACAACCTGCAACCGTACAGAGTGCTGCTTGAAAAACACTTCAAAAAGATGAAATCACAGACCAGAAAAAAAAGAATGGACAAATGACAGTACAGAAGGTAAGTCTGCATCTGCGAATTAGACTTTCTCTTTCTTTCTCTCTCTCTCTCTTTCTTGACAGAGTCTCACTCTGTTGCCAGGCTGGAGTGCAGTGGCACCATCTCGGTTCACTGCAACCTTTGCCTTCCAGGTTCAAGCAATTCTCCTGCCTCAGCCTACCCAGTAGCTGGGACTACAGGCTCCCGCCACCATGCCCAGCTAATCTTTGTATTTTTAGTAGAGACAAGGTTGCACCATGTTGGCCAGGCTGGTCTTGAATTACTAACCTCAGATGATCCACCCGCCTCAGCCTCTCAAAGTGCTGGGATTACAGGTGAGAGCCACCGCGTCTGGCCTAAACTTTCTATTAAAATAAATCTAGGAGATCCAGAAATCCACAACCACCAGTGATTGTTCCAAGTCTCTCAAGGTTTCTTTGGTGCAAATAACATTTTCCATTTATCTGGCATCAGGAAATTGGTGGGTTTTTCTTCTTCTTCATTTCTTCATATTAACCTGGCTACCCATGGGTAGAGTCAGCAGGGCAACATTAAATAGAAAAAAAAAAAAGATGCCCCCATACGATGGCCTGAGAGTGGAGACCAGTGACTCAAAAGCAGAAGGCTGGTTCCAAAACATCAAACTTCTGCAGTCTCAGCTTCAGGTGAGGAAGGCAGCTCTCACTCAGGGAAAGAGCCAAAGTTAGAAACAGTGCAGCTCTTGCCAGTCATTGACCTAAGGCCAGGCGGCTCCTCAGATGACCTGCAAATTGGGGACACACCACGGCATGCAGCAGCTGGGCTGAAGGATCCTGCTCCCAGTGGATTTTTGCAGGGGACATTCTGATTCCCTTAGCTGACGAATATGATCCTATGTTCCCTTATGATTATGAGAAAGTAGTGAAGTGCCAGAGAGAGGAACGACAGACACAGCAGGAGCTAGAAATATGAAAGGAAATAGAAGAAAGGGAAAAGAGGCCTGAAGACAGGCAAGAAGTTAGGGGAGTTCTGATCAAGGCGACCAAATCCAGATTCTGATGAAGGGGAAGATTAGGAGGGAGAGAGGAGGAAAAGTAGTAGGGTGGAGCTGCCATTGCCCTTCCCACTTCTCTGGTAGAGAAAGACCAAGAGTCACCCCGAGATTTTCCTTATGAAGAGGATTCAAGACCTCAGTCATGGTCTTCCAAAGCAGCCATTCCTCCCCCAGTGAAGGAGGAACAGGACAGACTGAGATCTCCAAACCGGCCTAGCAGCTCCTTCCTCGCTAACGTGGTGGGAACGGTGGCGCACAACATCATGCAGAAGCGCGGCTTCCGGGAAGGCCGGGGCCTCGGGGAGCACCTGCAGGGGCCGCGAGATGCCTTTCCGGTGGGGAAGACTAGCAGATCAGGCGGCAAGATCATCGTGGGCGACACCGCAGAGAAAGATGCATTGAAGGATCAGGTACAAATCCACTGACTGAAATACTTGAGTCCTACTAAGGTGGTCCTACTAAGGAACATGGTTGGCGAAGGGGAGGTGGAAGAAGACTTGGAAGTTGAAACCAGAGAAGAATGTGTGATGACATATTTTTCAGTTGATATGGTTTCCTATGAGACATAGCATCATTAAGGATAAAATAAGTGAAACTGAAAAGAGTATAGTTAATCTAGTTTTCATAATGAGTTCATTCTATTATGTTTCTTTTTCTTTTCCATTGTCAATTTATATTGGCTCAGAGAAAACAGGCTTGATGGATAAAGTCCATGGTATTTCCCAATTTTGCCATGAAAAATATGGCAAAGTTGGAAAACGTGTGATATGTGAAATTCTTGGTGTCCCTGATGATGAAGCAGTACAGACCTTTTTAGAATTTGAGAGTTGAGTCAGCAATTAAAGCTGTTGTTCACTTGAATAGAAGGTATTTTGGTGGACAGGTGGCAAGAGGATGTTTTTACATTTGTACAAATTCAGCATCTTGGATTTGGTGGAACAAGTTTGATTTTAAGAACTAGAGCATGAGTCATCTCTGGTGACCCTTAAATGACCAGCAGGCTGAGAAAAGAAGGAAAAAGCTCACAGCCTCCATGGCTGTTAGATACTGAGACTCTTGGAAGGACCTCCAAGGTATACGTTGATTGATCCCTTTTCATTTTGTGGTTTTTAAATATTGTATAAAAATCCAAATCCTTTTTAATAAATAAATAAAATGTGCAGCTGACTAGTTTCAATCATTGGTAGATATTATACTGTAGGAATGAAGTTAGTGTCTGCAGCTGTACATATTCAGGCCATTCTAAATATATAAGCTAGTTAGGAAGAAAATACTGTGGATTTTATCCATCAAGCCTGTTTTCTTCAGGCCAGTATAAAACAAATGGAAAGGAAAAAGAAACATAATGAAACAAACTCATTATTAAAACTGGATTACAGGATTAATTTTAATGTTTTCAGTTTCACTTATTTGACTCTTAGTGATGCTATGTGTCATAGGAAACCATATGAACAGAAATATCCCAAGAAGTAAATTTGCTTAGAAAACAGAAAAGGGCTTATTAGTCTCTTTCAGTGCACTGCACAGCATTCAAGAAGAATTTGGGTCATGTGGTCTTTAAATTACTAAAACGAGTAATGAATACTAGCGGAACCAAAGGCTGTTTCTATGTGAAGAAATGATCTATTTTGGGTTTACATACATCAGTAAAATTTAACAACCAGCTTATGCTGTTAAACATGGTGGTTAGAGCTGGTGTTTCCCGAAGTTTACTATACAGATGGGTAAATAAAGTTACAAAAACACACACAAGGAATGCAAAATTCACTGGAAAAACTAGGTATGTTAAGAATATTTTAAAAACTAAATTTTAGGCTGGGCATGGTGGCTCATGCCTGTAATCCTGGCACTTTGGGAGGCTGAGGTGGGTGGATCACCTCAGACCAACCTGAACAACATGGCAAAACTCTGTCTCTACAAAATACGAAGAAAAACAACAACAACAAAAATTAGCTGGGTGTGGTGGTGCAGGCCTGCAGTCCCAGCTACTCCAGAGGCTGAGGTGGAAGAAGTGCTTGAGCTTGGAGAGGCAGAAGCTGCAGTGAGCTGTGATTGCTTCATTGCACTCCAGCCTGGGCAACAGAGTGACTCCCTGTCTAAAAAAAAGCAAAACAACGAAACACCACCCCCCTAAATTTTATAAAGCAAATCTAAAAGCAAAAATGAAAATTGCCTAACAATAGCAAAATGGGACAGTAGAACTGATAAAATGTGGTATATTCATGTAACAATATATACATTCTTTTGAAAAATTAGCAATATTTTTAACTGTACATATATGATCTATTTCACAGTAAAAATGAATAAAATTATGATATGCATAAAAATAACACAAAAACATTTCTCACATTAGCATGTATATATTTATGGAAATGGGCTCTTGAATAACAGGACGTTATAAAATCTCACCTGTAGAATTTAAACCCTAAAGGTGATACTATATTTATACTTTGACAAATCATTTTCTGTAATCAACTTTATTTAGTATCACTTAAAAAAATGAATAGTACTTTCATTCTTATCCCTTTTAGTGCTTCCTAAATATTTTACTTTTGAAATGATAGGTCTTGGATATATTGGCTTGTTTTTTGTTATAAAATCTGTCATCTATAGCAAATGTTTTAATACAATTTGAGGCACATATGCACACCTCGGAATATGAGGAAAGAAAACAATCAGAAACTTTGCAGATTGACATTGTCTGTTTTCACAGTTGCTCTGTGGAAAGTTTGCTCTGAAGGACTGTTAGAGTTTAGAAAATGAGTTTTATAATTTCCATGCTGACAGCCAATTTTAGGGATGAATTTTACTTTTTTTTTTGAGACGGAGTCTCACTTTGTCACCCAGGCTGGAGTGCAGTGGCGCAGTCTCAGCTCACTGTATAAGCTCTGCCTCCCAGGTTCATGCCATTCTCTTGCCTCAGCCTCCTGAGAAGCTGGGACTACAGGCGCCCACCACCATGCCCAGCTAATTTTTTTTTTTTGTATTTTTAGTAGAGACGGGGTTTCACCATGTTAGCCACGATGGTCTCAATCTCTTGACCTTGTGATCCACCCGCCTAGGCCTCCCAAAGTGCTGGGATTACAGGCGTGAGCCACTGTGCCTGGCCGAATTTTACTTTCATATTGTGCTGTCTCCAACATAATTTTAAAAGGATTCTGGAAAAAAAAATAGTAAAATGCAAAACTATACTAATACTCTCAAGAAGCACCTCAAGCATTGATTAGCAAATGTATCTTATTATTTACAGAGTTAAATGACATTTCTAATGACCAAGGACTTTCTGAGTAAACATCCCTGGGGAGAAGATTTATTGCACCCTTCTGTGACCTCCCCACTCTGACTGCCCTCTCTTAGGCTGCAGTGTCTCTTGGCTGTACTCAATCATTGACTGAGCTGGCAAATATTCTGTTTATTATTGTCTAGGAAAGGCTGATGCGCTCCCTGACTTGGTAAAATGTTTCACTGCATCATTACTGGGCAATAAAAATAAGTTGAAATAACCGACTGAGTAAAACTATTAGGCACTTTGGGCAAAGCATGGCCTTTCTTCATGCCGCAGTGGGAAATCAATAAGATGCTCCAGAGGAGCCGAGTCTCTGGGGATACCTGTATGGTGCAATAAAACCAGCACATAAAGCAGTGGAAAAGGTAACGGCACTCATTTCGCACTGTTACAATTCCGTTGGGCAGAATGATGAAGGGAAGCTCCATAAAGGGTGGTCTATTTAAAATCGGTTCCTGAGTGTGATCTTTTATTTAGGCCTATCTGGAAGACATGCATTTCAGTCCTTAATTTGTAGTCTTTTTTCAACAACCCCATGAAACAAAAGGGATCCAGCATGGTGATACTGTTTCATGGTGATACAACCCCATGAAACAAAAGGGATCCAGCATGATGATCCAGCATGGTGATACATAATGATACTGTGTTATTTACCTGGAATTTGGTAAGAGAGCAGATTTGTAATGACTTCACTCCCCTCTGCCATCAACATGGTAACTATGTGTGATGTGATGGATGTGTTAATCAACTTGACTGTGGTAATCAGAACGCAGTGAATACCTATATCAAATCGTCACATAGTATACCTTAAATATACAGAATTTTTATTTGTCAAATAAATATTTTAATTTTTTTAAAAAAGGGATTTATGGCAGTGTAGCAGCAGTGGGTGGTAAGGTCTGGGTCAGGTTCAGCCCCAGGTGGGAGGTGGCGTCAGGGAGGAACCCAGTAAACAGCTCTGGCCTTGCAGGTGTAACACTTTAGGCCTCTGTCTTCCTGAGGCGTTGTTCCTGCATGTTGTCCCAGCGTCTTCCCTCTCTGTGTGTCTCTGCACCTCCATTTCCATTTTTCATAAGGACACTGGTCATATTGGATTGGAGCTCACCTTAATGACCTCATTTTAACTTGATTACCTCTGCAAAGATCTTATCTCCAAACAAGGTCACATTCTGGAGTTCATATGAATTTGAGGGAAAACAATTCAATCCATAATATCATCTCTGAAATAAGGACAACTTTACTTATGCATATACAATTTGGGTTGTGGTTGCTGCATATCTGTTTCAAATGGGTTATGGGCTCTTCTCACACTTTCAGGTCAAAGGGGACTTTGGAATCCATAGTGTACCTATGTATGCATATATGATCATGGATCAGCCTTCCCATTTCTGTCACTGTGTCCCTATATGGTTCATTATCATGTATGTTACTTCACTCGAAGGCCATACACAATCCAAACAAAATAAAACACAGAAACTGTGTTGGCTATTTTGACTTTCTGTTGAAACTATTCTCTTTGGTCATATATATATATTTTAAAAATATTATATATATATATATTTTTAAAAAACATTTTATATATATATATATTTTTTTTTCCAGTGATTATCCTGCCTCAGCCTCCCAAGTAGCTGGGATTACAGGCACCTGCCATCATGCCCGGCTAAATTTTTTTTGTGTGTGTATTTTTGTAGATACAGGGTTTCACCATGTTAGCCAGGCTCGTCTTCAACTCCTGATCTCAGGTGATCCGCCGGCCTCAGCCTCCCAGAGTGCTGGGATTACAGGCGTGGGCCACCACGCCTGGAGATAGATAGATAGATAGATATATATATATATATATATATATATATATATATATATATATATATATATATATATGTAATCTTTTTCAGTATATTCTCAGGGTGTGTTTGAGGAAAGCTTTTTTTTTTTTTGGCCATTGTCCAAGGGTTTAGAACTGAATGGGAATGTCTGTAAATGGATCTGATGGAGGTTGGAATGTGTATCAGCTTTTAATCATCACTGTAACAAATCACTAAAATATTCTCTTTATTATCTCTCACTTTAGAAGTGTGGGAGGGCTGGACTGATGACTCTGCTTATAGTCTTACAAGGACAAAATCAAGGTGCTCTTGGGCTCCTTATGAAGGCCCTAGGGCAGAATGTGTGTCCAAGCACATACAGGTTAGAGCAGAATTCAACTTCTTGTAGTTGTAGGAGTGAGGTCCCAATTCATCACTGGCTGGTAGTTGGGGCCTCTCAGCAATGTCAGGCTGCCTGCATTGCTCTTCATAGTGCCCAGTTCATTTTCTAAACCAGCAATGGTGCAGAGAGACATTCTCCTGCTTCTAGTTTCTCTGGCTTCCCCTCACCCACACCTCTCTTCTGTGTCTCTTCTGCCTCCAACCAGAGTTAAATCTCTTAAGTGCTCATGTGATTACATGGAGCCCACTGCATGAATCACGATCGTCTCCTAAGGTCTGCAACCTTAATTACATCTGCAAAATCCCTTATGTGATGTAACATATTCAGTTTCCAGGGCATCTTGGAGAGTCATTCTCATTCTTGCTGCCACAAAATATTCCTCATTCCTTCATGAAATGTTGTTTGCTTTCATATATTTGTCTCTAGAGAAGCATCAGGTATTTTCTCAACATCCCTTCATGTTAAAAACCCTCAACAAATGAGGCATTGGAGGACATACTTCAACATAGTAAGAGCCACCTATGACAAACCCACAGCCAGCATCATACTGAATGGGCAAAAGATGTGAAGCATTCCCCTTGAAAACTGGGACAAGACAGGGATACCCTCTCTCATTATTCCTACCCAACATAGTACTGGATGTCCTCGCCCGAGCAATCAGGCAAGAGAGAGAAATAAAAGGCATCTAAATAGGAGAAAAAGAGGTCAAACTGTCTCTGTTTGCAGATGATATGATTCTGTACCTACAAAACCCCATCGTCTCTGCCCAAAAGCTTCTCGATCTGATAATCTCAGCAAAGTTTCAGGATACAAAATTAATGTACAAAAATTAGTAGCATTCCTATATACCAACAACATGCAGGCTGAGAGCCAAATCAAGAATGCAATCCTATTCGCAATGACCACAAAAAGAATAAACTACCTAGGAATACAGCTAACCAGGGAGGTGAATGATCTCTACAAGAAGAATTACAAAACACTGCTCAAAGAAATCATAGATGACATACAAATGGAAAAACATTCCATAATCACGGATAGGAATAATAAATATGGTTTTTAACCATATTGGACCATACTGCCCAAAGCAATTTATAGATTCAATGCTATTCCTATCAAATCACCAATGGCATTCTTCAAAGAACCAGTAAAAACTATTTTAAAATTAATATAGAACCAAAAAAGAGCCTGAATAGCCAAGGGAATCCAAGGCAAAAAGAACAAATCTGGAGGCATTTCGTTAGCCAACTTCAACCTCTACTACAAGGCTATAGTAACCAAAATAGCATAGTACTGGTACAAAAACAGACACACAGACCAATGGAACAGAATAGAGCGCCCAGAAATAATGTCACACACTTAAAACCATTTGATCTTCAACAAAGTCGACAAAAACATGCAGTAGGGAAAGGACTCCCTATTCAATAAATGGTGCTGGGATAACTGGCTAACCATAAGCAGTTCCTAGACCCCTTCCTTACACCATATACAAAAATCAACTCAAGATGGATTAAAGAATAAAATGTAAAACGTGTCAGGTGCAGTGGCTCACGCCTATAATCCCAACACTTTGGGAGGGTGAGGTGGGAGGATAGCTTGAGCCTTGGAGTTTGAGACAAGCCTGGGCAACATAGCGAGACCTCGTCTCTACAAACAATAATAATAATAATAATAATAATAAATTAGCTGGATGTGGTGGCACGTGCCTGTAGTCCAGGCTAATCAGGAGGCTGAGGTGGGGGAACCTCTTAAAGCCTGGGAGGTTGAGGCTGTATCGTGTCATTGCACTCCAGCCTGGGCAACAGGTGAGACTGACTCTAAAGTCTCAAAAAAAAAAAAAAAAGTAAAGCCTATAACTACAAAAATCCTGGAAGATAACCTAGGAAATATAGGAAATGCCATTTTGGACACAGGACATGGCAAAAATTTCATGACAACGACACCGAAAACATTGCAACAAAAACAAAAGTTGACAAATGGGACCTAATTAAACTAAAGGGTTTCTGCACAGCAAAAGAAACTATCCACAGAGTAAACAGACAACCTACTGGAAGAAAATATTCACAAATTATGCATCTGACAAAGGTCTAATGTCTGGAATCTATAAGGAACTTAACAAGAAAGAAAAAAAACGTACCCCATTAAAAAACGGGCAAAGGACATGAACAGACACTTTTCAAAAGAAGACATACATGTGGCCAACAAGCATATGAAAAACTCCTCGGCATCACTAGTCATGAGATAAATGCAAATCGAAACCACAATGAGATACCATCTCACGCCAGTCAGAATTGCTATTATTTAAAAGGCGAAAAATAACAGGTGCTGGTAAAGCTGTGGAGAAAAGGGAGTGCTTATACACTGCTGGGGGAATTATACATTAGTTCAGCCATTGCAGCAAGCAGTTTCGTGATTTCTCAAAGAACTTAAAGCAGAGCTGCCACTCAACCCAGCAACCCCATTGAGTACACACCCAAAGGAATAATAATCCTTCTACCATAAAGACACACAGACGTGCATGTTCATTCACAATAGCAATGACATAGAATCAACCTAAATACCCATCAACAGTAGCGTAAAGAAAATGTACATATATACCATGGAATACTATGTAGTCATAAAAAAAGATGAGATAATGTCATTTCTAGCAACATGGATGGAGCTGGAGGCCATTATCCAAAGTGAACTAACACAGGAACAGAAAACCAAATACCATGTATTCTGACTTAGGAGTGGGAGCTTAGTATTGAGTACCCATGGACACAAAGAAGGGAACAATAGACACCACAGCCTACTTGAGGATGGAGGGTAGGAGGAGGGTGAAGATCGAAAAACTACCTACTAGGTACTATGCTCATTACCTGGGTGATGGAATAATCTGTACCCCAAGCCCCCATTACATGCAATTTACCTATATAACAAACCTGCACATGTATACCTCTGAACCTAAAATAAGTTTAAAAAAAAAAGAGAAGCAACACGTATTTTCTGAAGGAAATGGGAATTATATATGAATATACATTGTCAAAGACTATAATGTTTGAGATTTTCTATTGCTTATTTCATTAGTTTCTTTCTGGACCTATTCCATCTGGGCTAGCAGCTCTGAAAACAAAGTAGTGTGGATCAAACTCTGTCATCTGTTTCTGTCACACAGATTACAGCCCTCATCCTGAAGGAGGGACAGATTTCAGTCCCATCCTAATAAAAAAAAAATCTCTGTTCTGTTTACTGTTTTTTTCTACTTGGTTTGGAAAAATTTTGTTAGAGGCAATTGTCGATACCACATATGGCTGACAGCAGGTATAGGAGGTATCCTGGTACTCATACTTGGAAACCCTTAATTTGGCATCATCCTCAGCACATGAAATTTCTCAGATCACTAACAATCTTGGACCGATGATGATTCCTTAAGCCAACTTCGCTCTTCTGAAAAGGTTGGCGGGCATGTCTGCATTTTTCTGAGGACTCCTATGTTATCATCCACTCAAGATACACGAAGGCATTAACTAATTTTAAAAATCTTGGCCTGGCACAGTGGCTCATGTCTGTAATCCCAGAACTTTGGGAGGCCGAGGCAGTCAAATCACAAGGTCAGGAGATCGAGACCATCCTGGCAAACATGGTGAAAACCCCGTCTCTACTAAAAATACAAAAAATTAGCTAGATGTGATGGTGGGTGCCTGTAGTCCCAGCTACTCAGGAGGCTGAGGCAGGAGAATGGCGTGAACCGGGGGGGCAGAGCTTGCAGTGAGCCGAGATCGCGCCACTGCACTCCAGGCTGGGGGACACAGCGAGACTCCGCCTCAAAAAATAAAAATAAATAAATAAATAAAAATCTTAAGCTCTTCAGTTTTACTTTGTGTCTGCTTAGAGGAAAAAAGCATCCAACTACAGATATAAATGTATCCATTAATAAAAGGTAAATGGAGGCACAAAAGTTTATTTGAGCTAACAGTGATTCATGAATCACTGTTGAAGCAGCTTCAAATGGGAACTGGTTCAGGGACCCTTTCAAGGGAACAAAAAGGGACAGCTTCTGTAAGGTAAATATAGTAGCAAATTTTTCACTGGTTGTACTTATACAATTGCCTTATTTGGTTGATCCTGCTGGAAAGTCTCTAGTTATATAAGTTAATTGGCTTCTGATTGGTTAGCCTTAAGTTTGACTTTTTTTATTTTTAAAGACATTTACAAGAAATAGCTCAAGTTTTGCTTATATTGGTAAATCAAGCAAAGTTAACGCCACTTAAAAGGCTTTGTCTGGTCAGAGATACCTCAGGCCATTTTAATTTTCTTTAACAATTTAAATACACCTGTGTGCCAGAGGACAGCTCAGTGAAGTCTTTGAATGTCTGTGGCTGTATATTTGGAAAAGTATATATTCTTTGCGAAATACCACAAATACTGATGAGGTAAAATGCAATGTACAGGACTGCATGTATATAACAAGTCTCTATTACTAGATCTATACTTCTGTTTACATACAATTTTTATTACTAAGAAAGGCTGAATATATTTACCTTTCCAGTAAGAATTACAAGTAATTAAGTTACCTCAGTAACACTTCAGTGTTTAGGTACAGTGCAAGTGGCTCTCTGTATCTGTGTCCAGCATGGAATTTCATACCTAGTTGAAAACTTTCTTACTCGAGAGTGAGTTTTCTTATCATATATGTGGTGATATGGGATGATAACAGAATGTTGTAATGTACAGGCATCCATGCCCCCAAGTGATAAGTTTTCTCACATGATTGTTTCTCTTAACTGTGGTTTCCAGATATAAAAGCTTAATCTTTGGATTCACAGGAGCATTCTAGAATACATAGCAGGGTTTTGCTGTTATTCCTAGTGGTTCTTTTAATTTAAAAAAATCCAAACTTCCTTTATAATCAAAAGATCCACTTGTTCCCATTTCTTTAGCTGTATGAGTTCTCATAGTCAGTTTGGGCTGCTATTAACAGAATCCCATGAACAGAGTGGCTTACACAACAAACAGTTATTTCTCTCAGTCTGGATGCTGGAAAGTCTAAGTCTGAGTTTGAGGCAAAGCAGATGCAGTGTCTGCTTCACAGACCACAGTGTTCGCCTTATAACTTCACATGGCAGGAAAGGCAAGGGAGTTCTCTTGGGCCTCTTTTATAAGGGCACTAATTCCATTCATTAGGGCTCCACCCTCCTGACTTAATTACCCTCCAAAGCCTCCTGACACCATGACTTTGGGGTCAGGATTTCAACATATGAATCTGGGGTGGGGAAGCAAACATTCAATACTTTGCACCAGTGTAACACCAATTATACTGGATTCATTTAATATGTTTGTCTCCTATTAATTAATATTTGTTTACATTGTCAATGTTTTGAAAGTACTTCATAATCAGTATATTTCCTATTACGCCTTCTCCATGTAAAAAATATTTATCCATCTATCTATAAACTGAGCTGTGTACTAATAATGATTCAATAGTATAGATTTAGATGTAGACTTAAATATATAAGTAATATTTTATGTAAGCCAATGACTTCAGACAGTACGATTTGTTTTGTTTTTATGAGCTAACTGTTAGAAGTATAAATGGATTTATTTGTTGTAGAGATATGACTATGATATTGTTTGAAAGTTTCCACTTATTTACTACATGTAGCTCAAATATATTTTTCTTTTAATGTTAAATGAAAATATGAAGTTATTTAAACAGCAAGTAAACTTTCTGCAGATACTTATTTTTGTATTGGGAAGAAAAACTGATTAAATGTTTCATGTTTTTTATAAACTCAAAAGGTATTAATTTCATGGCTAGAGATAAATTATTTCTTAGTATCAACTTGGTTTAAATTTGACTAGAGACTCAAAATGCAAAGCAATAAAGATAAAAAGTGGTTCCACTGCCAGTGTCATTCAGTTGCCTTCTCTTACCTCCAAAATAATAGGTGTCACCTGAATCAATGAGCACAGCCACCAGGGGCTGAACAGCTGTGTCATCGTCCACCACCACATTCATATGGCTCCACTTGGCAGAGAAGGACACAGAGTGCCACTGCCCATCGTTTAATCCAGCACCTGGAGGAAATACAATCAGTCAGAGACAACTCTAAATTATGAGCTCTGTAAACACTTGAAAACAATTTGATTCAGATCACTGAATAAGTCAGAGAAGAGTGGTATTTACATGTTCATGTATCACTGAAAAAAAAATTAACCACCTATCTTTAATTTAAAAATTTCATTTATTACGAAAATAACACATGAATAAAAATATTACTCTTTCTGAAGAATCACTGTAACAAATTCTGGTAATTTGCTTAAAGTAACTAGAATTTAATTATCAAATATATACAGTAGGAGCCTTTACAATGGGATAAAAACAACACAGTTTGGTTTAATCTTCAAATGCAAAACTTACTTGCTTTACTGAATCTAACAAAAACATTTTACAAGAATCAAGAAAGTGAGTTGATAAAAAATACGTCAAGAATGATTGTGAAAAGTTTTTTTTAGAAAAAGTTGACACATAATTGCACATACTTATGGGGTGTGACAGGATTTGAAATGGACGATCACTGGATGTCTGGCTTACTGCACCTATTAATTAAGGTAAACCCTGCTTTCACTGTCTGAGCTATTTTACAGCCCTGTAAATTGTAGAAAACTGATAGTAATGCAAAATGACTTGTACCCATAGAAATACAAATGACTAGTGCCTGGCGAGGTGCAGTTGCTTACTGAACCATTTCATATCTGTCTGTAATTCATTTTGGCATTTCTTATCTGCCTGTATGTGTAGTACTTTGAATTATCCTCCGAACTGATTGTAACATCTTACTGGTTTCTTCATAGATTAGTTAAAATCTTTAACATATATTCGTGTGTTTCTGAATTAACAAATTATGATTATAGATATAATTATACTGTCTTTTAAAAGTTATTATTCGCTGGGCATGGTGGCTCATGCCTGTAATCCCAGCAGTTTGGGATGCTGAGGCGGGCAGATCACCTGAGGTCGGGAGTTCAAGACCAGCCTGGCTAACATGGTGAAACCACATTTCTACTAAAAAACAAAAAATTAGCTGGGCATGGTGGCACTAGCCTATAGTCCCAGTCACTTCGGAGGCTGAGGCACAAGAATCACTTGAACCTGGGAGGTGGAGGTTGCAGTGTGCTGAGATCACACCACTGTACTCCAGTGTGGGTGACAGAGTGAGACACTGTCTCAAAAAGATAAAATAA
This sequence comes from Homo sapiens, assembly GCF_000001405.40. Lineage (NCBI taxonomy): Eukaryota > Metazoa > Chordata > Mammalia > Primates > Hominidae > Homo > Homo sapiens. The sequence goes on along the minus strand of NW_025791789.1, from coordinate 169,753 downwards.
AATAAAATAAAGCTATTATTTAATATTTGATAAAAAATGCTTAGGAAAGAACTGGAGTTGTACTTTATATATGTGCAATATTTTTATATATTTACACTCACATCCACATTATTTTATGATTCTTAGTAGTAATTATGAAATTAATCCTGTCAAATAATTTGGTAACAAAATGAATTGTCTTTGATGGTAAAGTTAAATGTTAAGGTATTTAAAATCACTAGAGGTATTCTGTGCTTTCTTTTACCTGATAATATGTCAAAGATACATGCCAATAAATGGGCTAAAAATAAGATTAGCTTCATGAGGCCTATTAAATTAACTTTGCACTGAAGTTTAAAATTAGGCCAAGATTGAAACTATTTCAGAAGTTACATATATCATAATAAACTTTAGACTAATAGAAATTTTCCTATAAAGTTAACATTTTACTTGATAGTCCTGGGAAACCTGTAAATTATTAAAATGACTCTATGCTTCATTTATTTTTCTTCCTAACATGCATTTATGTGAAGTTAGTATATTATTACCATTTCAAATGTAGTACTTCTTAAAAATTAAACATTAACATTAATATTTTAGCTTTCCCTTTTAACCTTCAGTGATGTATGAAACAGAAACAGAAGTAGTAATAAAGTGTAAGGAAATAAATTATTCTTTAAAATCAACCAAGATTCTGGATGTCTTCAATGTAAAACTAGGCATTGTCTAAACACAATCTGGAGGATTATATGATTCTGCAGGTTTCTGTGCCTTTTACCTTGAGTTTTTTTTTGTTTTTGTTTTTGTTTTTTGAGATGGAGTCTCGCTCTGTCACCCAGGCTGGAGTGCAGTGGTGCCATCTCGGTTCACTGCAAGCTCCGCCTTCCGGGTTCAAGCCATTCTCCTGCCTCAGCCTCCTGAGTAGCTAGGACTACAGGCACCCGCCACCACGCCTGGCTAATTTTTTTGTATTTTTAGTAGAGATGGGGTTTCACCGTGTTAGCCAGGATGGTCTCAATCTCCTGACCTCGTGATCTGCATGCCTTGGCCTCCCAAACTGCTGGGATTACAGGCGTGCCACCACACCTGGCCCCTTCTTTGAATTCTTTTACCACCCTGTGAATTGTAGAAAATTGAAAGCAGGCAAATGATTATTGTCCATAGACATGCAAATGAATTTTGTCTGGCAGGAATACAATTGAACTTCTTCCTGGTTCCTCTACCCCATCCCATGGAATAAGCCAGTTTTACATTATACACAAAATCATTGCAGCAGTAACATCTTACTGATTCTCTCATAAACTAATGAGTTAAACAAAATCTTTGACATGTTCTTTTTATAACTGCAAAAAGTGCCCTCTTTAAGAATATCTTTTGACAAATAAAAGCAGATCTTTGTATAACTGTTTTCATGTCTATCATCCACATTTGTTTTATTTTTGTTTTCTATTAGGTTGTATTTGGCCTTTGGCCATAGTTTATGCACAAGAAAATCAGATACAGTAGAATCTATAAATATTTCAATGAGAAGTTACTAAATTAATTGCCCACAACATAGATGTTATTTTAAACACATTTGATATGAAGATGATCTCTTGTTAACAACTACAACATTTTAACTGCAGAGGCAAAATATCACACTCACAAAGCCATGAGCTAAAGCAAAATCCTGATGAGATTTAAGAACTTTAATTATATTTAATTCTAGTTATTGTGCAACCCAGAACTGGATGAAGTGCTTGTTCAGCACTTCATTGAATCCAGAATATATGCAACTCATCAGCAGTAAAACTGAACCAACTACTATAGGAAAAAAATTGAGGGCAGTCTTTGCAATGGGCAAAGGAGATTACTGGGTATCTTTTCAATGGAAAGATTAGCTGATATTACGGGATTGTAAACCATCATCTTGGACTAGGTTACTTTACAGCTGTGTAGTGACAGAAGTTAACTTGCAGAACATTGATAATAATGCAAATAATGCTTGTCCATAGAGATGCAAAGTGTGTACAGGGAAGGGATTTGCCTTTCCCTTTGGATATTGACAAGTTTAGCTAGTCGGCATCTCTTTTCTGACTATAAATGTGTGGTACTTCTTTAAACAGGCCTTACTGGTGTAAGGGTAAACACAAACCAAAACAAACAAAAGCTTTCTTAGTGCTAAAAGGGATACACACTTTCATTCACTTTTTTTCCTTAGAGCATTTCTTTCAGAAAACTTGTAATTGTACATCTTTAAAATCTTAAAACAAAATCTTATTTAGCCTCTTTCTTGTTTCCAGGAGTGTTTTTCTTGAGGACCTTGGAGACATTTCTTTGAAATGTAAACACCAAGAAAGGCAGTGCTCCTATCTCCTTGTCTCCGTGGGAGTTTAACGTAGGTGCCTGGCTCCAAGTTGCAACTACCCACTTGTCAAAGAGACATGGAGTTTAGTTTTCCTTTGCATAAAGGAGTGTGCCTCCCCAATCACCAGGTGAATGTAAGATGGGCTGTGTAGCAAACGGCGCTGTCAAGTCCTCTTACTTGAGGACAAGCTGTCCTTTATCTTTAGAACATGTATGTAATGGGTTGTATCTGCCTGGCTATATAAATGGATGAAATTTCTTTATCTTTGCAATCACATTAGCGATTGCCTGAAATGTACATCACAGTCTGGCTTAATACTTATTCCATAATAAGATTATTTCATTTCTACCTTGTGAAACTGATTCACTATGTTGGTGGGCCATTTTATCTTTACTTATTTCCCTAACACTGGTTCTCTCATCAATGAGTTAAAGAAAATCTCTGACATGTGTTCATTCTGTATCTGTGTGTAGGTCACGATTTTAACCTTTCTTGGAAAAAATCTTATTCGTGAGGAAATGGAAACTAGGTTTGCATTTCTAAAAGATAAAAAATATACGTCCCCTCTGAATATCTGTTTTATCTCCCCTGAAACACCTGTGTGAGGTGGACATAGATTCTAACACCCAGGACTTGCCTGATTGTTCCAGAAGTACTGAGATAAGGCCCCGCCCTCTGAATTTCTTCACGGGTCTTGAAATCGTGCTTTTATACCACAACATTTAATAGCAGTATAGTCACGTGTGCCTCTTACAGCCAAAAGGAATCTTTTTTTGAGTATGATTACCCCCTGGTCTCAAGCAGAAGTCAGCCTCTTCGTCTGTGCCTTTTTCTTTTTCAGATTACGCTTTTTTTTTTTTAAAGCCCCCATTTAGTTCCGATGCCAATTTAGGCACAATGTCAATTTAGGACCCAGTGCTCCTCCCATCTGCAAATCCAAAATCATCAAAATCCAGCAGCTCTGTAGTTAACAAACTTGCCCACATCTGACTGCATGTGAGATTAGTTCCCATCTATTGTAACTCAGTCTGGCTTCATGGGATTTGAGCCCCTAACCTAGCATTTGCCCAACAAAAACAGGCCCTGATGGGGAGTGGGGATGTGAGGGCCTGTGTGTGGGGTGGGCATTGTGCTAATAAAATCAGACTTCCTATTGTTCTCCCTGCAAAGGAGATCTGAGGTTTACCACTTCACAAGTGAAAACAGCTGAGGCTTAGGAGGCTTCGTGATTTACATTTCAGAAGGGCAGTAAGTGGAGGAGCTGAGATTCTTCCAGGGTGCCCAGCTATCCCAGAAAACGAATCAGCCATCAACGAAAGAATAAGAACTCTTGGTATTTGCCGGGCATCTTTCCCTGTAAAGTGATAGTTATCAATTGCCTACTGTGTATAGAATATTTGTGCACAGACCCTGAGCGGCGGGGCGGAGAAGGGAAAGGAGGAGGAGGACAGGAGAGGAATGTGCCTCTAGGTATTGTCTGTTCCATGAGGTCCTGACCCTAGTTCTTTGGGATGGAGGCTGGTATATGTTTGTCAGGAAATGGAGCTCAAGGATATTCCTTGTATATGGGAAGGTATGTCTGCAGAAATATGCATTTCATATTTCTCATACATAGTCATTTTGGTCAAAAGAACACTTTAGTGGCAGCGGGGTGTACCACACAGAACAGTCTAAAAGGAAACAGCAATCTGTTCCTCTAGTGGGGGCATGGAGCATCTCACTGCCTCACTCACTCACTAATTACCAAATGATTTCCGTGTGGATATGTCAGGTTTATGGGAATACAACTGTTACCTGCTGTGACATTCCTTGGTGACTGTCCCGGCTGGAAGAGACTCAGTTTGAGCTTGCCATCCTTAAGAAAGAGGACGAAACTCCCTGAACCACGTCGAAGTTCGCCGAAAAGCAAATGTCCTGCTCTGTTCCACGTTCGAAATTGAAAAGTGACAGACACTTTGTCCTCCCCAGAGTTGCCTGGCAGAGCCAGATAACTCCTGGAGCTCAGAAAAGTCACAGGGACAGTCTGTGGCTGTGGACATGAGAAGGACACATTTCCCTATAAATAAAACAAAAGAGCACATTGAGCAGCCTTACAGGTGGTGCTTCTATCTAATTAAAGCCAGATTTTACGAAGACGTACAAGGCTTTTTATCAATCCAGGATTAGTCTGCCTGCTAAAGCTGAAATCTATAACATTTATCTTCTCTTTCAACATAAGTATTATTATAATTGGGCACACATCCATGTGGCTTTCTGTGTGTGTGTGAGAAATTCTCCACTTCTCTACTTCTCAGCATTAGTAAAGGAGTCTCAATATAATTTTAGTTCAACAGGAGTTTAATCTATGCCAGCTATTTTCCAGGCCCTGTGCTAGCCCTGAGGATACAGCAAATAACAGGACATTTTCATACTCAGTCTTTCTCCTGAGCAACATTTGGTCTTCTCTACACAATCCTCAAAATCTCTTTTGAACCAGCTTACTATTTTACTGGTTCCCTCATTAATGAATTGACTAAATCTTTGACACATGCTTATTTGATATTTGTATGGGTCATATTTTTAGCTGTTGGAAAGTTATATTTGACAGCCTTTCAAATGGTTTTCAGATCTAATAGTTATATGCAATGTTTGCATATAGTATTTTTAGCATGAAAACATTGATGTTTTTATATAGTCAATTATGTCTATATTGTATTTTACAGCTTCTGAGTTTCCAATCTTTGTTAAGAAAGTTTCATACTACCCTAGGTCCTACATACAATCTCATAGATTTTCTTTAAGATTGTTGTTTGTTTCTCATCCTCTTTAATTTACATATTCTTAGTGTGTATAAGATAGTGATCATGCTTATTTTCTGCCTTATGGACACTTGTTTGTTCCGGCAGAATTTCAGAAATAATTCATCCCTGTTCCACTGAATTGAGCCACATTCCTTGTTACTAACAACTTTGCACATAAACTGGGATCTTTCTGAGATCTTGACTGTTCTACTGACTTCTCTGTTCCTATCCACTACCATACTGATTCTAGTATAGAAGCTTTTAGTATGCTTTAATATCTGGTAAGTCAACATCTTACTAGGTTTTTAAATGGTTTTTGTTTGTTTGTTTGTTTTGCTTTGTTTGGCTGGTGAAAGGAATAAGCAATTCTTGGGCATTATTCACACATAGGAATTTCAGTTCCAGAGAAAAACCCCAGTAATTCTGATTTTACTTGGAATTTCCATGGATTTATTTCTAATATACTATAAATGATTTTAGAAAAAGAATGTTACTGGAGCAGGACAGATAATCTAGGGTAGTGGCTCTCAAACCTAGCTAAACAGTCGAATCACCAGAAGGGCTCTTAAAATCCAGATACAGACCAATTAAAATCCCGATCTCTGGAGGTAGAGCCAGGTAATGGTATCTTTTGAATCTCCTCTGGTGACTCCAAGATAAAGCCAAGTTTAAGAACCACACTGATCCAGTGGTAAAACAATTTTCAAAACAGAATCACATTTTTAAAAAATTCTGTCCCAACATACTTTAGAAATGGATATAATTCAGTTATCATTTTATAATAATCTTTAATACACATTCTAACTGTATACATCAATCAGAACATTTCTTCTTGACTATTTTTGTAATTCTGCCAAATGGGAAACAGTTTTCATGACAAGAAAACATTTGCAGAAGAAAATTTAAAAAAGAAAACATTTGCTGTAACAAACTAAATACCAAAAGCTTACAAGTAATTGGCACTGATCCATAGTACACATGTAATCACTGGACTATTACATATTTTTTATCTTTTTATCAGCTGTATATTTCTTGACCTCATCATTTAGGTGGGTAGCTGCCTGCTACAACAGAGAGGCAGGGCTTCTTGCCACAGAGGAGTGCTTGTTAGTTGACTGAATGAATTCTGGCAACTGATTTTCCCAACAAAATACATTTTTAAATGTTTTCCTTTTATATATTGGAACAACTATTTTCCTGTTTTTATACAGAACACATAGAATTGTAGTAATTCTTAAAATGGAATTCCCATAATTAACATTATATATCCATATGCACAATTTGGAATGAATTGTCTTTTTGTTTTTGTGTGAAACTTACACATTTTAATAACCTCATTCAATGTAATTAGTAAATAGTTTTCTTGAGGATGATATCCAGAACCCAGAGATACCAGCTTAATTGTGGTTCTCCTTATTGGCTATACTCAATAATTCCATCAGTGAACCCATCAGTAATTCAGAATAACATGGAATGTATATGAAAACCTGTGTCTGTTGTCCTCAAATAGTCTTGTCTCTTTGTGTCATAAGGCCCAACTCACTCTTCCTCACTTCAATGACAGTGTCTTTGTAAATAGCCCCATAGAAGTTAGGGTGAGGAGGAGGGATTCTTCTGAACACCAAGGACTGGCAGATAAAAGGTAGCTTAATATTCAGAACGTGTTAGGTCAGGCTTCTTGACACGGATGCCCATTGGCCAAACCCATCTTTGTATCTGTATCTGAGTAACGCATCTCCAACAAAGCCAACTTCAATAACCAGGTCTTTTTTCTTTTTCCTGTTGAGCAGCACTTAAATGTCAGTTTCTCCATGGACAGAAACTTTAGGTAGAGGGCTGTTCCATTTATCTCCTTCCTCTTTTCATTTCTTTTTCATCTTGTCAAAGGAAACTGCACTCTGTGGAGCCTTGTTATCACTCTTCCCTTTGGTGTTTCCTTTTTCATGTATCTTGATGGTATTTTTCATTTTTATGATCTCAGCAGGGTGCTGTTCATAGTAAAACTTAGACTTCAAACCCATCTTTTTTTTTTTTTTTTTTCTCCTTTACCTTCTTGGAAAGTTCATGGGCTTCACAGCTGTTTTTCCCTTTTTCTCATGCTAACCTAAGTGATGTATTCATTGTGTGGTCTGGTGACACACAGTCAGAGATATTTTCAGGTTTTGGTCCTGCAACCCATGAGCCAACTCCTCCAGCACATAACAGGAAAGAAAACATGTTCCCAACAATACAAATAAATATTCCCATGATGTGCTGCTGAGATACACTGACAACTAAACATGAGCTTTCCCTTTAACCCAAACTTGGATATTTCAAACTTTAAACATTGAAAGAAGTTTATTAACTGATTTGGAAGTATTTCCAGTTGATTAGGGAATAGATCATTAGGGATTGCCATTGCAAAATGATTGGTCTCCTGTGGATAACAACACCAAAAACACGTGAGACATATGAATTCTGATTTCCATGTAAAAATAGAAAGTTATTTTATTTCATATAAAAATGAAACAACGATGTCCCATGAGGCATATTTACTTTATAACTTTTTATGCATAATAAAAATTACTATATTAGGCTGGGTCAAGGTGGCTCGTGCCTGTAATCCTAGCATTTTGGGAGGCCGAGGCAAGTGTATCGTCTGAGGTCAGGAGTTTGAGACCAGCCTGGCCAATGTGGCAAAACCCTGTCTGTACTAAAAAAAATTAGCCGGGTGTGGTGGCACACACCTGTAGTCCCAGCTACTCGGAAGGCTGAGGCAGGAGAATGGCTTGAACCCAGGAGGCAGAGGTTGCAGTGAGCCAAGACTGTACCGCTGCACTCCAGCCTGGGCAACAGAGCAAGACTGCATCTCAAAACAAAAACAAAAACAAAAACAAAAAAAGTGCGCCTGTGGTCCTAGCACTTTGGGAGGCCGAGGTGGGCAGATCACGAGGTTGGGAGATCGAGACCATCCTGGCTAACATGGTGAAACCCCGTCTCTACCAAAAATATAAAAAATTAGCCGGGCATGGTGGTGGGAACCTGTAGTCCCAGGTACTCGGGAGGCTGAGGCGGGAGAATGGCGTGAACCCAGGAGGCAGAGCTTCACTGCACTCCAGTCTGGGCGACAGAGTGAGACTCCGTCTCAAAAAAAAAAAAAAAAAAATTGGCCCAGGCCCAGTGGCTCACACCTGTAATCCCAGCACTTTGGGAGGCCGAGGCAGGCAGATCACCTGAGGTCAGGAATTCGAGACTAGCCTGGCCAACATGGCGAAACCCCGTCTCTACTAAAAGTACAAAAATTAGCTGGGCATGGTGGCGGGCGCCTGTAATCCCAGCTACTCAGGAGGCTGAGGCAGGAGAATTGCTTGAACCTGTGAGGCGTAAGCTGCAGTGAGCTGAGATTGCGCCGCTGCACTCCAACCTGGGAGACAAGAGGGAGACTCTGTCTTAAAAATAAATAAATAAATAAAACTAAATTACTATATTACATGGGCAGCTGTTAAAGTAAGAACTGATTCTTAAAATATTAGATGAAATGGAGACTTCACATGAATAATTTTTAAATGCAAAAAATAAAATGTCCTTTTTTCTTTCCTTCCCATTAGGCTTCCTTACCATCATGAGGATCTGTGGTTTGTGTTTCTTGGCTAATTCGGTAACATCCACTCCATTATAATAAAGATTTTCTAAACACCCATGAAAGCTTTTACGTCTGAATGCCCGCGATCTTCCGGGTGTCGGAATTCCCCCAAAGCTGATCTTAGAAAGAAAAATGACATAAATAACATTGTTTAGTGATTTTCTGATGGTACGTGTTTAAAGCATTTATAATTAATAGGTCTAGTACTAACTGTCACAAATCCATTCCCATTATCTTATATTTGCATGCTTGCTTATTCCAAATGAAGTGTTCTATCATAATGACAGCTGTTAATACCTTTATTTCTGGCACCACACAGTTTTGAACAAACTTAAAAGGAAGAAGTCAACACACATTTTCTGCCACATTGAAATTTTCAGCCATGTAGTAAATTTACCCTTTGTGGGTCATATGATCTCTTTTGCAGCACTCAACTCTGACACGAAGTACCAATGTGGCCACGGACAATACATAAAGAAAGAGAACATGTTCCAATAAAACCTTCTCTTTTGAACAAAAACAGGCTTTGTATTTTTTTAATTAAAAAATGTCCAAACTTGGCCTGATGCCCATAGTTTGCCAACCTCTGCATTAGATATTATCTTTTGCTATTACATGGTTAAATTAAAGTAATAAAACTGAATAATCCGGTATAGGACTAGGATCTTCAGTTTAATATTATATGCCAAAGCCACTTACGCCAGTAAATATCACAGTTTTTCTGGTTTGTTATGATCCTTCATACACTTTAAGGTGTCCTGTAAAGGACTGAAAGAATAGATGCTATTTAACAGTGTAGCTTAGATACATATGGGCAATGGGTTGCAAAAAGCATTAATGACTTAAAAAATATCAGGATATTATTTATATGTGAGCATCTGACTTTTCTTGTTATTTAATAAATCTATTGGTGTATATCTTGTTAACTTCTCAAAGTGATCCTAAATAATGCTATGTTGGTTAGGATTGCACCAAGACAAGAAAAAAAATCCCCCAGGAATCTGCATAGTCAAACAACAAGTGTAATATACCAGATGAAATTTCAAATGAAATATATTCAAATGAGTACATTTAATAACAATGCTTGCTACTTTGGTATTTCTGCATTTGTGGATTTCCTAAACCTAACACTGACTGTTTACTTCTTTCCAAGGTGGAAAAGATGATCTATTATAATAAACTGACCTATTAGAAGGCATAAACAGTTTCATAGTACCGGGACAGACATACCATACCTATTACTATTAGTCAACTTAGTTATGAATTACTATAAAATGGCATTTCTCTATGCAGCTACCTTATTTTTCAGGTTATATTTAATTTAAACTATATATCTATAATAACCTCAAAATTAAGATCCAAGTAACTGGAATCTCCCTTTGCTTGGAAATGATGAGTGTGTTTGTCCACGGTGAAGTTGACCTGCGTGTCGAGGAGCTCGATGAGGACGGAATGCCAGTGCTGGTCGTCCAGCAGGCTGCCCAGGGTGAGGGTCACAGGAGCAATAGTGGAAGGCAGCTTAGCATTGCCTTAAAGGAGAAGGAAAAAAACAGTTATTTCTGTTCAAAATCACAGCTTCCCTTTTTTAGTTGAGCATCACAGTTTGCATCCAACTTTCCATCTTACAGAGTTGTTTTCTCACTTTCTCCCTATCTTGAACACAATAACCTTACCCTGTTTTTATTTTTTTTAAGTTCAATTCTACACTTTGTTGAAATTTTTCTTAGTATTTTTTCTATTACTCATGACATTTGGATTTACAATGCAAATATTTTCTTTCTTAGAACCTCATTATCAGCATTATCTCATAATTTTATAATGATGTATTGTCTTTATGATATGGATAATCATATATTACATATATATTATACACACATATGGTGATCTTGCACAGTTTGTCAAAATATATGCTGTTTACAGAAATCATACTTAGGATATGTATGTATTGCATGCATCTGGTAGTAATGCTCTTAAACTTTCATTTACATTTGTTCATTGCAGTTCTACTTTGCACTTACTGTCCCAGAGTAACTATCACTTGTGTATTTTTTATTTCTTAAAGGTGTTCTGGTTTAGATGATGAATTATATGGTCATTTTATCTAACTGTGAAAAGACTGAGTACCAACAAATGTAAACAGATTTTTTTTAACTACTGGTATAAAAGTTCAAGTATTTTTTTACCTGAATTAAGAAAAAAGACAAGCTTTCCTTTAATTAATTCCAGAGTAATGTGATTTCCATGTTGTCCTTCTCTGTGAAGTAGAATTCCATTGCTCTGCATGGCTTTAAATTTCAAAGAAATAACGTCTCTTATTGGTTTTAAAGGTTTTTTATCAAGTCTATACAGCAGAGCACTTTGTCCATCAAAATAAACCACCTCAGATTCTAGGAAAGAAGATATTAGAAAGCAATTCTAAATATAAATATGTCATACAGTAGCACATTGAAAATGTGTGCATCAATATGCCACACCACACACACATAGACACACATTGTATTTCTAAGCCATTCATTGAAGGAAACAACTGACAATAATATATTTTCTGGTGGCATCATGAGTTGATATATGTAATATCCACCGTTAGAATTTTCTAACATTTTCTCAAACTTCATCATCTAGAAATGCTTTTATTAATCTACTCCCAATGGCTCTTATCTTTAGAGCAGCCCATTTCTTCTCATTCTGTTTGATTAAAAACAATCAGGAAAGAAGCTGTATTTCACTACATAAATTATTTATTTTAAGGTCATTCTTATATTAAATATCAGTGTCACTCAATTTAAATACCTTTGTTCATTCCCAGTAGCTTTGGCTTCTCTTGATTCTTACACATGTACCTACTTTACTAAAGATTTTGTCTGTAAAGATACAGAAACACATATCATACTTATTAAATACTGCTTTAGACATGTAATAAATGTATTTTAAATGAGCTGACATGTAATATTTTTCTCAACCCTTGGCTAATGGTACTGCTAATGGGCACTGCAATGTGTCAACTTGGCTAGGCCATGGTAAACAGCTTTTGGTCAAACACTAGTCTTGATGTTGCAGTGCAGGTATTTTTTAGAGGTAATCAATATTAAATCAGTAAACATTGAGTAAAGCAGGTTAAACTCTATAACGTGGGTGAGCCTCATCCAATCAGTTGAAGGCTGTAAGAGAAAGAAAGAAAACTGAAGTTCTCTAGGAAAGAAGGAATTTTGCCTCCAGACAACCTCTGGACTCCAGCTGCAATATCACCTCTTACCTAGGACTTGCCAGTCCTTACAATCAGGTAAGCCAATTCCTTAAAACTCTCTCTCTCTCTACACACACACACACACACACACACACACACACACACACACACAGGCACACAGACATCCTATTGGTTCTGTTTCTCTGGAGAGCCCTGTCTGACAAAGGCACAGAGGTTTTGTTTTCTTGGATGCTTTGTTGAGAGAGCATGGCCTTAACACCTCTGTTTTGGTTCTTCCTGCTGTAGCTTGTCAGAACTCCAATGCTGCCACACTCTCTCAGCACTCTGTCAGGGTCTTATAAATTCACTATAAATGTCACATATGTTCAGCTCATCAAAAAACAAGTTGTTTCATTTTATCAGTAATATAAAATAATATTTGATAATATTTGTCAAAATCACATGAAGAAATTAATATTACCCAGAAAATCTCTTCTTTTTAAAAGTAAAAAGAAAAATAAGCAATTGTCCTTTGAAAAATATATTTATTTAATAAATGAAGATGCATGAAAACCTAGTGAAATATGAAACTATTTGAAGCTGACTAGCTGATGTCATTCAAGCCAATAAGATGGCATTGTTTAATTATATTTAATTTCACAAAAATATTACTAGTACTTTTTGCATGGCTATCCATTTCATTCACATTATCTGAAATACATATAATAAACTGCACTTCAAAAGTTCTCCATTTTATGTATCATTTTAAAATTTAGAAGTTTGATTTTCTCACATTGGGTTAATGTACTTACAAGGAATTAATGTATCAAGTGCATGATGAATAAACACATTCTGAGTAAAATATGTGTAAATTAAACAATTATTCCTTGTTACATAACTTATTATATGTTCATGATAAAAACAAAACTCTCTGTCAAATGTAAATGAAGACATCTAAGATTATTATTACCTGGCCATGAACTAAGGGAAACCTGAAAAAGATTGACTACAGACTTTCACATTTTTAGCACTGCCCTAATACTTATAATCATGTCTTTATTTGTTGCTTAAAGAAAATGCTAATATTTGAGCTATTTTTTTTTTTTAGTTGACTAACAAAAAAAGTTTTCTTCCCGAAAAGGTTTTTTCTGGATTATTGCAACCTATACATTTCTTTTTCTCATTCTATGTTTACTATTACTCTCCAACAGCAGTATTGATCTTCTAAGGCATGTGAAGTACAGTTCCTGGAATGTTTCCCTCAGGCAAATAGAATAGTAAAACACTTATCAAGTAAAAGAGACATAAAGCAATGACCTTGAAACTCTTTTGTTCTTTAGCTAATACCTTGATTTTTTCTTTACTGTAATCGCTAGTGCTTGTATCTAGAAATTTAAGAATATACTTATAGCTCATTATGCATATTTTAAAATAAAAGCAGATTAATGAATTGCAAATCCAAACTTTCTAAAAATCATTAAACATTCTATGATTTATGAAGTCAATACATAAAAATATGAAACAAAAAATGATGTTTGGGATGGAAAGCATTGAGTTCAATAAGTCAACAGTAACGAGCCCACCAAGATCAGCACTGGAGAGGGACAACGCCCATGTAGTCCCTCTTGAATAAGATCCTCCCACTGGAGAAGCAAAATTTCAAGTCTTGGTCCTTAGAAGTAATGCTAAAAGGTAAACTCTCTTCCCACTTGTCCACAAAAGTCATACTTTTAGCATTTTAAAACACTTGCAAGAGCAAAGAAAAGTTCTCCCAGCTGGTCAGGTGCAGTGGCTCATGCTTGTAATCCCAGCCCTTAGGGAGGCTGATGCGGGCAGATCACTTGGGCCCAAGAGTTCGAGACCAGGCTGGGCAGCATGGCAAGACTGGTCGCACTTGCTTATATTCCCAGCTACTTGGAAGGGGGAGGTGGGAGGATCGCTTGAGCTTGGGAGATGGAGGCTGCAGTGAGCAGTGCTTGTGTCACTGCACCCCAGCCTGGGCAACACAGCAAGACCCCATTTCAAGAAAAAAACAGTTCTACCTAGCCATAATCAATGCAAATATTCCCCTACAATATATATTTGAATAATACACTAAAATAAAATAATTCCAGTAACACATTTAATATAATCTTTTCTCAGAAACCTGTTGGAAAAAATCCTTTGTATGAAATTCAATTATATAAATAGGAAATGTAGTGGGATACTGGAAAATTAATGTCACTTATTATGTTTACGATAAAATCCAACGTTCCTCAAAGTTTTCAGAATGAAAGCCTTGCTATCCAAAATGAATAAAGAAAACTTAGCTTGTGGTTTAAAGCAGGAAGTGCTTTTCTAATTTTATATGAATTTAGTTTATAATTATTAGCTTTATTAATTAAGATTATAGTTTTGATTGCTGAATCTCAATCAGTATTAGCAATGTGGACCCCTGACACGTTAGTCTGTCACCATTAGATCAGGAGCTACATTTTCTAGTACACTAGAGTATATACTGCGTGGGCTTGAATCCTGGCTCCATCCTGGATAAGTTACATAGCCTCTCTCTGCCTCAGTCTACTCATAAGTGAAGTGAGAATACATACACTCCTCTCTCACAAGGTCGTTGCGAGGGTTAAATGAGTTAGTATTTGTACTTTTACAACAGTGCTGGGCACATGGGGTACCTTCAGTGAACGACGGCTTCATTATTATTGTCAGGGCACTGGGCAGAAAAAGAGGTGGAAATGAGTTTAAAATAGCACATAGGGGATATATAGGAAAGTAGACAGCTTAAAATGATAGCGGATTTAATTTTTGAAGGACCTAGGAAATCTTCAGTTTCCACCAGGAAAAAGAGATTTACAACCATTCATCCACACTTACACAGCTCCTTCTCTGCCAGCCAGCTTGTTCCTGGGCTGACTCACTTCAATCACTGGTAACCTAAATCTTACTCAGAAGTATTAATATATCTATCTCATTTTCTTGTGTTAGAGGACCACTAGAGTTTTTAAATGATACTTGAAGATTATTGGTGCAATTATAATGTTTTTGTCACACTTCCTCAAAGAATATCGGAAAAGCTAAGGACAGATGTGTTCACAAAGTTCCCAAATACGAATTCTTGTAGATAAAGAACTTTGTCATACAAGGAAGAACTGTGTCAGAAGTAATTTTGCTAAAATGTGTTATGTCCTCATTCATACAGCTAATATTCACTGAAAGCCTTCCATATGCTAGGTGAAAGATAAAAATGCAGAAGACAATGAATTACTTTTAAGGATCCCACAGTATGGAAAAAAGGTCATATAATCCTGAAATACGATTGTTTCTGCCACATTCACAGTGATGCTTCTGTAAACAGGCATCTGGTCCAGAATGACTTCTAAGAAAGGATAAGGAAGGAGTCTACCTGCTTTAGACTCCTGCAAAGTATGACGTCTCTGAAAAGCTAAGACATAAGTAATTTTGAGTTGCTATTTCCTTTATTTCCTTAAGCCATATTTTACCTTCACATTTTACTTTTATTAGAAACAGAGACTCACTCCGTTGCCCATGCTGTAGTGCAGTGGTATCTTCACAGCTCACTGCAGCCTTGAACTCCTGGGCTAGAGTGATCCTCCAGCCTCAGCCTCCCAAGTAGCTGGGATTATAGGCATGCACTACAATGCCTGGCTAATTTTTTACTTTTTTTCTAGAGATGGGGGGTCTCACTATGATGCCAAGGCTGGTCTTGAATTCCTGGGCTCAAGCAATCTGCCCGCCTCAGCTTCACAAAGTGCTGAGATTACAGGCATAAGCCACCCCGCCTGGCCTACTTTCACATTTTTCACACCCAGAATGTACTCTTAACTCTGGCTTCTCATTACTACTTTTCTGCTTCTCACTGTCATTCTAAGCACAGGCATGTCTCATCCCCATCCTACCTTGTACTGCCTTTTCAGAGGAAACATCAACATTGCTTGAAAACAGCAAGATTCCATAGGGTGCAAACACTGATGTCTTACAGAAGAAAAAAAAAAACACGATTCCACAGAAATTTTCTTAAAGTGTTCTATCAACCACCTTCACTCAGATTGACTAGGAGTGATCACTTGGAGACTTTAGAACGTGAGCCTCAACCAGACCAGGAATCAGGATTTCTGTGGTTGAGACCCAGGGGTTTGCATATTTAATAAGCTAACTAGGTAGCTGTGATGACACGAAGGCTTCAGGATGATTTATCAGGGATAATGGGCAGATTACAGAGGTTTACTCTCTAAATAAATTGAATGTTAATTCCAATATGGGGTGAGGCACAGTGGCTCACACTGTAATCCTAGCACTTTAGGAGGCAAAGGCAGGTGGATCATTTGAGGTCAGGAGTTCAAGACCAGCCTGGGCAACATGGTAAAATTTCTACTAAAAATACCAAAAAATCAGCTGGGTGTAGTGGTGCATGCCTGTGATCTCAGCTACTCAGGAGGCTGAGGTGGGAGAATAGCTTGAACCCAGGAGGCAGAGGTTGCAGTGAGCCAGGATTGCTCCACTGCACTCCAGCCTGGGCAACAGAGAGAGACTCTCTCTCAAAAAAACAACAACAAAACCCACAATTCCAATATGGAAACATGAATATCATTTTCATAGAGTTATAATTTATATTCAATAAATTTAAGGTTATAGTTCAATGAGTTTTAATAAATATATATACCTACCTTATTGCCAAAAAATCAAGGTGTAGGCAATTTCATATCAACTCACTAATTGCCATTTGCATCAAACCCCCAACACTGTCACCCAGACCCAGACCCAGGAAACCAATGATCTACATTCCATAACTACAGATTAGTTTTGTCAGTTCCAAAATTTCATAAAATTGTATCGTGTATGTGTTCTTTTGTGTCTGCGTTCCTTCTTAAGTGTAACGTTTTTGAGATACACGCATGCTGTTGCATATATCAACAGTCTGTTCTTTCTTATTGCTTGGGGTATTCAACTGTTTGACAACTTGTTTATCCATTTACCTGCTGATAGACATTTGAACTGTTTCCAGGTTTAAACTATTATAAATAAAGCTGCTAGGCACATTCACACATACATCTTTATGTTGACATATGCATTCATTTCTGCTGGGTAAATACATGGGAGTGGAATTGCTGAGCTATATATTAAGTGTATATTTAGCTTAGAAGAATGCCAAATTGTTTTCCAAAGTGATAGTATCATTTTCACATTTCCCACCAGCAATGTATGAGAATTCCATATCTTTGCCAAACACTTGGTGTTTCCACCCTTTTTAATTTTAGCCTTTCTGCTAGGTGTATAGTGGTTTCTCATTGTGATTTTATTTCTCTAAAGACTAGTGATGATTCATTTTAATATAATAATAAGTTAGAATAGATGTATTGGGATTCTGTAGATCAATTCGGGGAGGATGATAAGAATATTGAATCCTGCAATCGATGAATACACAAAGCTTTCCTAGGAAATATTTGCCTTTATTCACTCACATATTTTCTTTCCTTCTGGGCATAATAAGAGGAACTTAGGGAAAACAGGCCTTGGTTCTGCATTCTCAGTAAAGGCCTTGATCTCTCTCTTTAATTTTCATGCATGATCTTTCCTCTCTATTTCTTTTCTTTCCTCTCTCTTTTCTCCTTCTCCCATTTCCTGGTAAAGATAGTTGATTGCACAGAGTCTGGAATCCTCTGTGAGTAGGTTCACATTCCAATTCTTCAACTTACTTATTTCTGATGGACAGGGATTTACTTTTTCATCTTATTTTGAGTTTCTATTTATTTTACTTTTTTATGACAAATTTTTTTTTTTTTTGAGACAGGGTCTCACTCTGCCACGCAGGCTGGAGTGCAGTGGCATGATCTTGGCTCACTGCAGCCTTGACCTCACTGGGATCAAGCAATCCTCACACCTCAGCCCACTGAGTAGCTGGGACCACAGGCACACACCACCATGTCCAGATAATTTTTGTATTTTTTGTAGAGATGGAGTTTTGCTGTGTTGCCCAGGCTGGGCAATCAAGTAATCTGCCTGCCTTGGCCTCCTAAAGTCCTGGGATTACAGGCATGAGCCACTGTGACCAGCTTTATTTATTTTTAAAAAAATTTGTTGAAATTTAATTAGCACTTCAGTGTTTTACAGAAAAATAATTTTCCAAAATATTAAGTAGATTGTATTATAAACACATTATTATATGAAAAAATTATATACACTTTGTTTTCTTCAACACATTTCCCATGGCATTAAAAGAAATGCAGTTAGTTATATTTTCAGTTATGACAAGCAAACATTCAGAAGACTACACTTCCTACCAAGGACAAGTAGAAAATGTGTACCAAGTAAAGTTTAAATAATCTTCTTGAAAGTTTTAAAGATCTACTACGACTGCCAGGACTCAAGAATGTAAAGATCTTAGAAGACAAGCTCAGAACACTCTTTCTGCTTCTACCCTTGAAGCACTGGTCAACTCCCAAGGAGCAATGGGCAAGAGACAAGGTGGCCAAGCAGAAAGTGACAGGACAGCTATGAGGCTGGGTCACGAAGCAGGGGTCTCTGTAGACTCATCATAATTAGGAGTCAGATGGCAGAATTCAGAGATTTTCAAAAAAATGTTTTGGCAAAGGCCTTCAAATCTCAGTTGGGACTAGTGAAGCATTGTACTCCAGATATAAGATATCAACTAGGCCTCATGGGGACTGAGACGCTGCACTGAGTCAGTTAAATGCTTATTTGAATTAACATCTGTGCCTAATCTAGAAGCCTAACAGAGGCTGTGGTGGGGATTCGCTGGGGGATCACTTTGTCTTCTCTAGCCTCTACAAATTTCTGTCCAACATGTCCAGAATTCAGCCAAAATTATCAGACATCAAAACGGAAACAAAAACCAGACAATGGAAAAGATCAAGAGATAATCCAGATATTGAAGTTAACGAAAAATCTTTAAAATAACTGTAATTAATATTTCCAGGAAAATAGGCAGCAAGATAAGGAGTTTCACTAGGATACATGAACAGAAATTCCCAAACTGAAAATCACAGTAACTAAAATTAATAGCTCACTGGCATATTCAACAACAGATTGGTCACAGCAGAAGATCTGATTAGTAGTATAGAAGATAAAGCAGTACACAATGTCTAGACTGCAGCATAAATAGAAAGAAAAGATGAAAGAGGAGAGGGAGAGAGAGAAGCAGGAGGAGGGAGAAAGAGAGAGACAAAGAAAGAAAATAAGATACAAACATCTCAGACAGATGTAATTGGAGTCTCAGAAAGGAGGAAAGGAAATGCGAGACAGAAGCAATATTTTGAAGAAGTAACAGTGAAGAATTACCCAATCTAATAATCACTGCATAGAAAAAAGAAATTTAGTGAAATCCAAAGAGGACAAATTCAATGAAAACTAAAATAGCCACATCAAGGCAAAACTGCTGAAAATCAAAGACAAATAATAAATTCTCAAAAGTAACCAGAAGAAAAATACACATTTCCCTTATAGGATAAAAATCAATTACCTATTGATTTCTTAATAAACATCATGAAAACAATAGAATGCCATCTTTAAAAGGCCGAAAGAAAATAACTACAGACCGTATTCTCCAGCAAGCTGAAACAGCCTTCAGAAGTTCATATAAAATAAAGACAATTTTCAGGCAAACAAAAGCTATATGACAATTTATTACCAGTAGAACTGGGCTAAGACAAATATTAAAAGGAGTCTTTCTAGCTGAAAGAATTTGATTCAGAAAGAGCATGAAAATGCAGAGAAAGTAAATATGTGAGTAAATTCAAGTGAATACTGATTGCAAAAAAAATTATATTAAATTTTGTGATTAAAATATATGTACACATATACACATGTATGTATGAAACTAAAATGTGTCAACATAGCACACATGGTGGGAGGAGTTTAACTAAACTAACATAAGTTGTACTTAAATCCTAGTATTGTTTGGAAAGTGATAAAAGTAGTAGCTCAAGTACCTAGGAGAACAAAATTAGAACAGCAAACAATAGTGGAAAAACTGGAAAAATTAAACTTGATTAACCCAAAAGAAGAGGAGAGAAAAAGGAGTATAAAACAAGTGAACCAAATATAAAACAGAGAGTAACATGTCAGCTACAATTTCACATATGTCAGTAATTACATTTAATATAAGTGGACTAAATATACCAACTAAAACTCAATGATTTCCAGATTTGGTTTAAATAATAAAGAAAGAGTCCTTACATATGAAGACAAAAAGTTTGAAAGTAAAGAATGGAAAAAGTTATTCCATGAAAACACTAACCAGAAGAAATCTGGCATAGCTATACAGTACTATCATCAGAGAATGCAGACTTACAGGCAGGAGGCATTATTAGAAATAAACAAGGATATTTCATAATTACAAAAAATCAACTTTAAGGAAGATAAAACAATTCCCAATCTATATGCATTTAATGAAACAGCTTCAAAATATGTAAAGCATGTATCTCTTTTCATTTTACTGGAATTCATATTTCAGGCATGCTTATTAATGGTAGACACAAAGGAGGACAGTAGGTACACTGTAGAGTTGACTCTGCCTACCATTAGCCAAAGGAAGTCACTGGCTGGCTCAAAAATCAGGGGGCAGGGAAGCATACACCACTCACAGGCACTGGCAAGGAACAGGTGCAGAATTGGTGCCAGTGATGCAAACTAGCACAGCGTGTATATATAAAAGTGATAAAACAATTAAAGGAACTTTACAGAGGTAGGTAGTTCTAACTTCATTAGAACACCAATGAAGAAATACAAACTTGGACCATCTCAGGAGTTATGAAAATTTCCCATGTCTCAAATTCTAATCAAGGACAGGTAAAATTTTGGAAGGGAGAAAATAAAATTTGCTTTTGTCCAGTCACTATTTGTTCTATTTGTTTTGTTTTACCGGAAACCTCCACTTGCCGTCTGTTGTTCCTACGGAAAACAGTACAGCACTCAGTTAATCCAGATGAAGCTGCTAATATTCAACTGTATTTGATCTACAAAACTGGCAAATATATGGTTCAACCAATTATAAGTGAAGCTAGAATGATGAATAAGAAAAGGACTGATTGGTAATAGCATAGCTATGTAAGACAGAGT
Source organism: Homo sapiens (assembly GCF_000001405.40). NCBI lineage: Eukaryota > Metazoa > Chordata > Mammalia > Primates > Hominidae > Homo > Homo sapiens. The sequence continues at coordinate 148,751 of NW_025791789.1, read as the reverse complement.
CTGAATGACATATAAAACTATTTGAAGACTAAGTTATAAGAAAATGTAACAGAAAATGCATGAATAAAGAATTACCTGTGAGTAATAAAAAATGATTTTCACTTGGGACATTATAAAAGAAATCTTCGTGAAAAGAACATTTTAGAATTCTGTTAATTATCTGGGCTGTGCTCCAAGTATTAAAATTTTAAAGAAGAATCCACCACTCCCAGACCCCCTCCCCCACCAAATTTTCCACCATTAAGGGACCAAAAAAGTGGCGAACCAAGCTCTTCTTGGTTATTTATGAAGTCAACCTTGAATACTAACCATTTTCTTTTTCCTTCATGAATTATTGCCCATGACTTACAAAGGAATAGAAGCCCAATCTCAGTTTAACAGAAACATGAATCAGACAAAAGCCATGTTTGAGTGTTATCTAATGAAAATACTAAAACACTAGCATGGAGTGGAATGTAAGCCCTTAAAATCTGCACTAGCGGACTGGGAATTAAAGAGATGGAAAGGATACTAACCACTTGAGAAAACAACAAGAAGAGGACTGTTCTATTTTTTGCATTAATATCAAAGAAAGTGGAGTGATTTAAAGAACTCTGAAATTGAGGATAATTAAAGCTGGCATGATAAAAAGGAGGAAGGCACAGAATCAAAAACTAAATGTTTATATACAATACAATGCAGCTTGATGCTGTCTCTCTGAAAGTAGAAAAGAAGCTGCCGCCATCAATCAATATAGCAATATATCAAAACAAGTATCAATATAATGATCCTTTATGAAACCTCGGCAGTTATTATCCATCAAGAACATGGAATTGGTAGTCAGAGGACTGGAGTCCTCTCCCTGTCTCTGGTGACTATTTGTAGCTCCTGCACTGCCGGCCCTTGGTGTGGCTTCTCAGATTGCGTACTTGGAACATCTGGGTGTTAATAACTGCCTTTCTACTACATAAAGATGCATCAAGTATCAGATGGAAGAATGGAAACATAACTGTAAAATCTTATATTTGCTATTTTTACTAGAGTTATTACAATTTTTAATACTATACTTTATAACAATATAATCTCCAAGATACCTGCCTTACCTGGATGGCTAGTATAAGAGAGAAATAATCTGAAATTTAGATTCATTATTCAGATTTTATTATCATCTGTCAGACTTTTTTTCTGAATTGCTTCATTCATTCATTCACTCAATGCAAAGCTATGGTGCACTTAGTATGTTCCTGGCTCTGTATTAGGTGCTGATGTTACAGCAATGAATGTACCTTACCCTAGTGTAGCCTGAAGTCTAATGAGGAAAAAGGAAACTAGGCCTCTAATAAGACAGATACAGATACACTATAAAAAGTGACTATAGCACATGAAGTCATACTATAGGCTTCCTGGGAACTTATAATGAGGAAACAAATGTAGAGTGAGGGCCTAGGAAGCATCATTTAAACTGAGATCGAAAAGAGGAAGAGTAAATAGCCAGTTGAGAACATGGGGAAGGAGCATTTCAAGCAGGGGAGACCGCAGGCGTAAAGGCTTTGAGTCAGTAAAAAGCCGGACACAATTGACAGTGGACAGGTAGCAGGTGACGGCAGCAAGAGGTGGCACTGGAGAGTTATTCAGGGACAAGCTCCTTCAGGCCTTGCTGGGAGTCTGGATGTTATTTTAGGAACAATGGAAAGCCACTGATGGTATTAAACAGGGACGTAATTGTATCAGTTCTGCATTTTTAAAAGGTAACTTGAGTTGCAGTGTGGAGAATATAATGTAGTCAGCTATGAACAGAGACAGAATGACCTAAACTTGGAAGGCAATTTCCATAATTTGTGGGACACCAAGTTTAGATTAAGTCGGTAGTAGAGCTAAAGAGAGCTGAAATCATGCAAGGTGTAATTTGGAGGGAAGAATACAGAATTTCGTGACTCACTGGACATGGAGGGCAAGAGAGATAGATGCGTCAAGGACCCATAGGGTTCTGGCCTAAGATTCTGGGAGTTCCCCTTTGTTCTTGAGAGATGCCCTCGAAGGCCTGGACAGGCAGTAGAGCATAGGGAATTTATTTTTCTGTCTAAGGCCTCTGGGAAACAATCCTAGTGTCTTGGGCGTAGCTTTAAGCATGTCTCAACAATCGAGTTTGAACAATCGAATGTGCATGTTTTTCCAGGAATCATCCTGATTATTGTGTGGACTAAAAACTGGAAAGATCAAGACCAGAGACAAATAGCTGATTTAGGAGGCTGGTGCTCATTTAGGCTAAACTGGAGGGAGAGAAAGAAATTCAAAACATTTAGGAGATAGAATCAGGTTTCAGTCAATAGGTGGCTGTTGGTATCGTTTTATAAGATGGAAAACAAAGGAAAATGAGCAGATAGACAACTGAGTTTTAAGTGCTCACAGGGCCAGTGAAGAGAGGTTGGTACCAGAGGTTGGAACTCCTCAGAGTAGGTTGCGGATACGTATTTGGAAGTTATCAGCCACAGTGTGTAAATGCTACTGAAAACTCATGGAAGTGGATAAAAGGCTCAGAGAGAGCTTGGGAGCAGGATAAAAGACCTAGAACCAATCTGTGGATAATGCTAGCCTTTAAGGAGTGGCAAGAAGAGTAGCATGCAAAGGTGCATGGAAAACCAGGAGAATACAGCTGTCAAGAAGGGCCCGAGGCCATCTGTGCTCATGGCTTTATTCTGCAGTTGAGCAGCAACTCTGGGAGAACCTACAACCTATCCCCAGGCTAGAAGTGGAAATAGAAATAAATAGAGTAAGCCAGGAGTCTGTGAAAACACACACAGTTTAAAGGAATAATGAATCTATTACTGTAAATGAAGTGTAGAAAAGCTAATAACACTAGGGCTGGGCAGTCCCAGCTACTCAGGAGGCTGAGGTAGAGGATCGATGGAGCCCAGGGGTGCACTATGATGATCAGGTGTCTGAACAAATTTTAGCATCAAATGGTGATCTCTCCGAGCGGAGGACCATCAGGTTGCTTAAGGAAGAGTGAACTAGCCCTGCTCCCAAATGAAGCAGGTCAAGACTCCCGTGCTGATCAGCAGTGGGATTGTGCCTGTAGCCACTGCACTCCAGCCTGGGCAACATAATGAGAACTTGCCTCTTAAAATAAAAAAAGATAAATTGATAAATACATAAATAAATAAATGGGAAGAGATGCTGCGTGGCAGGGATATTATAAGTCATTATAAGCAACGTTCTAGAAAACAAGCAGGGCAGTGGAAATACAAAGGAAAATACTGAAACTACCATTATTAACATAAGTCATAAAGGATTGTATTACTGTCAACAACAAAAATAAAATCACCATACTTGAACAATTATTCTTCTAAGGAAAAAAAGACAATGTAGATGTCCACTTGTTCTAAAGAATTACTTTTAGCTAGTTAGCAGTGGTCACATATTATCTGTCTGCATGTTTGGGTTTTTTTACTAGTAGTCCCTTACAGCCAACAGCATGTGTTTACAGAAGTTAACGGTGCCAGCAGATTGCATGGCAGCTGCACCGCTCACCGGCCCTTCCTGGAATCAGGCACGGGGCTTTGATCTTCCTGGTACCAACCTCCAGCCCAAGGAACTGGAGTAATATCTCTTCATGAAGGAACATCAAGCTAATGGCAAATCGCCATCAAAGAGCATGTTCCACTTTGAAGTCAGTAAACCTGAAGTTGTTTCAGAGTAATGAGAGGAGAAGGTAACTTCACAGCATCAAAGAGAGATTCCAAATATCAGACATCTTAGCCATTGAAACAGAGAGCACAGTTATAGGTCCCAGAAAACACAGGGATGGAAGGAGATGAACAATAACAGGAAGAAAAAAGACTGTTGGTAAAGCAACATCATTATATTTAGCCCTGTAGAAATGTAAACACTAAAAAACAAGCAGAGTTAGGAAATGAACTGGGTTGTACAGGAGTTAAGTAATAAAATGGAAATAATAGTATCTGAGATATTAAATGCTGTATGAATGACAGACGTTGTTATCATGCTTTAGAAAATTAATATTCTGCAGGGCTAAAGCTGTGAGTAGGCAGAGAATGGGAGTGACTGTGTGTAAATAGTGTGATATGAACATCCGGCCGGACCCAAATTGAAGCTGCTTAAGACATTTCCATCCAGGCTGCTCTTTGACCTGTTCTCCAGTTTTATACAGGAGTATTTTTCAATTTTATTCCATTTTGACAATAATTTAAAACATTTTTATGATAATGTAAAGAAAGAATACAAGTATGTTCTAGATCATCAAGTGGCAACTGTGTCACTGAGTACCACCAAATAATTTCACGGCCGGCTTTTTGTTTGTGTTATATTCATGTCGGCCCCATCCTTTCCACTTTTATAACAAAGAATAGGTGAGAAAAGAGGCTGACTAAACACAGGTTCCCACCAAGTGAAGATCAAGTGAAGCGACAGCACAGTGTGCAAAAGAGGACGTTAGCAGAGAAAAACACAGAGAACCAAGAGATTGCGAGAAATCACACCCTGCCCCCAGTACCGCTCCTGTTTTCCCAGACAGCGTATCATCTCAGCTTCAAAAAAACAGCATCATCTGTTGTTAGTTTGAATTGTATTCGTTTCATCAGATGCCTACCATATTGCAAGTACTTTGCTAAACTCTGGGAATCTAAAGACAGGTAAGTTTCAGTTCAGGTCCACCACTAAATTCAACTATAAAAGACAGTAACTAAAGTCCATATTGTCATGGGGAGACACTAGAGTGTTTCCATAAAAACCAGTTCTGCTTGCCCAGCTATATAAAAAGACAGAAAAAGTCAAGTTCAACATTTCATGCCGACATTGGCTTTTACAGTTTGGCTTTGACAGAATCTCATGCTGACCTTGATTTCACACAGGGAATAAAGGCCACTTACTATATGCACATCCGTACACTTCGATCCGCATCCCAATCCTGCCCCTAGGGTTCCAGGCTAAAGGGAGAAAGCGCAGGAACCTGGCTTCAAAGGGAGGCTGGAGTCTGTAGTGCACCACACTGTCTGCGTTTGTGTTTCCTGGAAAACCCTAGGAGAAAACAGAGAAAGGGATCAATGTATCTGCAGGACACACCATCTTCATGTCGTCACCTCTCATGGCAATGAGCAATGTATGCTCGCTTTGCTAATATGCAAAAAGCTGCTGTTTTAAAGGAAACACTGCTAATGGTTAACAAGGATGTGACAACCTCTCCAGTCCCTGAATTCGTCACCATTGTCTAAGTTTTCTTTATTTACAAGGTAGTTTAAATTTCATCCACATCATTAAAATGACTATAAACATGGCAACCTCTATGAAGTTCACTTTTCTAAAATGCTATCCCACAGATTCCTCCCTAATCAAGTGGTAAAGATGCTCACAAAAAGCCACATCACATGGCAGGGCAATCAAGCACCACGGTAACAGGCAAAGGATCTGCAGTGAGAATCCTGGAATCTGCAATTAGAGAGTTGGAAGGGACCTAGACATGATTCCAGCCCCACACCCTTAATTTATAAATGAAAAACTACAGTCTAGGAAGAAGAAAGGACACTCTGGAGGTAGGACAGCTATCATAGAGTGTGGGCAGGATTACATCTGGCTTTGATTTCAATGGCATCATTGATTCCATGTTATCAGGCTGAATCCACTTCACAGTGAACACAGCTCCATGCACCTGTGGCCTGTTTCCTGGGGGTGTCAAGAGGAGCACACTGCCACTATCTGCTCCAAGGCAAAGGGGCTTTCACTCTTCACTCCATCTTGCTATCTGAACATTGGGAAGGATCAGAGTGCAAAGCAAACAAAGTTGTTTTAGATATTTTTTTCATTGTTCTCAGATTTTTAAGAATATGGCATGTGTGAGAACAAGGAAAGGGTTAATGCTATTTTGCACTAGAAGTGCTATCACCTAACATGACTGGGGCACATAGTTAATATCTATGTATGGAACAGGCCAGCAGTTAGTTCAACCAAGAATGAAGAATGTTTCCTGCCTAATTATTTTGCTTTACTAAAGAATGTACCAGGCTTAGGGCCAGCGCGTTGGCTCACGCCTGTAATCCCAGCACTTTGGGAGGCCAAGTTGGACAGATCACGAGGTCAGGAGATCGAGATCATCCTGGCTAACACGGTGAAACCCCGTCTCTACTAAAAATACAAAAAAATTAGCCGGGCATGGTGGTGGGCCCCTGTAGTCCCAGCTACTCAGGAGGCTGAGGCAGGAGAATGGTGTAAACCCGGGAGGTGGAGCTTGCAGTGAGCCAAGATCGTGCCACTGCACTCCAGCCTGGGCGACAGAGGTAGACTCCATCACAAAAAAAAAAAAAAAAAAAAGAATGTACCAGGCTTAACAACAAAACAAAGAGAATAAAGATCAGCCTGCCTCATACCCAACCACCAATGGGTGTCCCTGGGTATAAACACATGGAAATAAAAATATAGGAAATGCCTTAGTGAATGTGGTCAATTTTAAATGCTAGTGTTGATGCTCAGACTTGGTAACAGTTCGTCTATTGTTAATTCGTGCCAATTCCAAGATAATCATTTCACCTTTTTTTTTTTTTTTTTTTTTTTTTTTTTTTTTTTTTCTGAGACAGGGTCTCACTTTGTCTTCCAGGCCGGAATGCAGTGGTGCGATCTAGACTCACTACAACCTCTGCCTCCCAGATTTAAGCAATTCTCCTGCCTCAGCCTGCCCAGTAGCTGGCATTCCAGAAGCATGCCACCACACCTGGCTAATTTTTGTATTTTTAGTAGAGACGGGGTTTTGCCATGTTGGCCAGGCTGGTTTCGAACTCCCAGCCTCAAGTAATTTGCCCACCTGGGCCTCCCAAAATGCTAGGATTACAGTCATTAAGCCACCATGCCCAGCCAGAGATAATCATTTCACTCTTGTTCCAACTAAAGGGTCATGTACATCGACATTTTTTGAGTTAACAATCGCTATACCAACTTCAGGTAAATATTTGCACAACCTCTGCACTCACAACCTTCTGTCTGGACAGCCCAGGCTGACCTATATAAAAGAAGCCATATCCCAGCTCCACCACCTCAAACCCTGCTACTCTCTGCTGCAAGCTGCAGTTTCTCCATCTGTGAAACTGATCTTGAAGGGCCAGAGTACTAATTGAGATAACACCTGGAAATCAATCAGCCCACCACCTGCGTGGAGGTGGCTGCTGTGATTGTGACCCAGGTTGGTCATTGTTGGCATGGTTGGTAGAGATGGTTGATCCATCCTTTTATTTTGGTTCTAATTTGGGTTTAATATCTAAGACATACAGCCAAGCTAATACAAGAACATCAGATCCTATGAGCATTTTGACTCCAATGTTAAAATTCAGTTGCAGAATTAAAATCATATTTTTCTGTAGCTGAATAAACTTTGTAAACCTCAGCAAAAACAATACAATAAAAACCTTTCAAAGGAACCCTACCAAAACAGAATTTTTTCACCTTTATCTGCCAAATGTTACTTCTTTCTCAATTTGTTTCAAAGTGTAAACTCTGGAAAATATACTTCTGAGTGATGTGATAATAGGATCATGTAGCAAAATAAAACTTAATGTCAATTTTTGCTTAATTAAATAGATTAACATTTAAGAAACTTTAAATAGACATTACCTAATAGTTTGTGAATAAGGCAGATGAGAAACATACTCTTTGCAACTTCAGAGATATCAATAAAAAATCAAACATTTATTACATATGACTAAAATATATTTAAAAGTTTATATATATAATCACATTAATTCATTTGAAATTTCAGAAATCACATTATTGTCTTATATAGAATTATAACCAGCTTCATGGGATACCAACCAAATGAACCACTGTTCTTTAAAGATATAGAAATTAAAGAGAATACATTTTGGGCAGGAAAGATTTATACTAGCATTTCACTGTCATAACATTCAGGGCTTATTATTGAAATAACCTTATCTATAACAGTAAAATAATGTGTGTCTTAAAAATATGCAGTGTAGTTTCTTATTTATTATATTCAAAGTTTGCTTCGAGAGCTTGCAGAGCAGACATGAGTTCATACGTGAGCACATGACCACTACGGACAGAAAGAATGGCGAACACAAAGACCTATTCCTGCTTTGTTTTATTAAGGTGGAAAAACGAACCTTCTAGAAGGATAAGCCAGCTTTTATAGAAATATGCAGCCTTCAACAATTCTGCAGAGGCTTACGTCTTCATTTTAGACATAAATAGCAAAAGTTACAGCTCTGTGGAGAGTGAGGGTATACAGAATAGTTTTCGGAAGCCATAGTCCTTCAAATTCTTTTCTGTCTTAGCAGGCATGTGACCTTGGGAGAAATCATCATCTTTCTTTGTAAAGTAGAAAAATTGTATCTATCTGGCAATCTTGGTAAGAATTAAACTAGTTAATATATATAATGTATTTGTAAGATTATAAATCATTTATTTTTTACAGCATTCCTCTGCAATTTGTGTGTGTGGTGTGTTCATGTATAAAAGCTCCATCTTATTGAAAGACAGTCACTTAAGTTTGATGTGGATTCTCTGTCTTTGAGGGCATTCTAGCTAAGTATTATATTAAGTAATCAAAAATGAGTATTTTCAGATAAAATGATCAGTTTCCATAACATGTTCCTTAGGTATACATGAAAGTGAGTGAAATCTGCGGCTTGGAGTCCACTCACATGCTGGAAATATGTTTCATAAATAATTTAGGAATTAATGACATTACTGAAAAATTTCCAACACTCTACTTTGATTTTTAGCGGTCACATTAGTTAAATCTAACAGTCACAGTCAGTGATGGTGCTCATGTGATATCCTGGTCTGCAAAATGTTAAGCGCATGGATAGTTGTGGTTGAGTATGAAATACCCAGATTGACAGCCATAAGCAGAAAAAAATCTGTCAAGGTAAGACTCATCAACAACTATTTTTAAGAAGACTGTTAGAAATTTGTTATTTTTCCAAATTTGTCATTTTGTCATTTCTGTTTTAGTGGGTTTTTATCATCAAATCTTTATTTTAAATTACGAGATACTGAAATGAGTCTCTGAATTTTAAAATAAACATTAAATCTCTACTATGCATAGGGCCACCACTGTCCTATGCAATTTCACACATCAATTCAGTTAGTCCTCACAAAGATGTTAGAAAAGCCTGTCTAAAAGAAACAGATTCTTCAGCAGCTTCAGTTTATTATTAGTTTCCCAAACACTTAAATGTACTACGAGAGATTCTTATTTTAATATGCTGTTATTATTTTAAGCTGTCTGTGTGTGGGGTAAGAAAGTGCCCGTGAGTCCCTGAGTTCTAATTCTGTTTCCTTAATTGCCAGACTATGCTGATATTGGATACAAATTTTAGTGCTTGTAATCTCAGCTTCTTTATGAGTAACATGGGAATAATACTAACTGCTCTGCCCAATTATAGCTTGTTGGAAGATGTTTCTGTAGGTGACTTCAAAATTCTAAGGAACTATACAAATGAAAGATATTGCTAAGCTGCTCCCTGTAATGCCTGTTAACAAGATTATTTGATTAAGACACTTTGTTAATTATAAGTGTTATATGAAGAAATTGTATTAATTCTAAGTATATAGCATTAATAATATAATTACCATGACATATACCTTGATGATTTTATGAAGCAATTAAAATGTTTCTATAGATTATTAAAAATTAGCATATTATCTTTATCACCTTAGTATGACTAGTACAATTATATTTATGCAGAGTTAATCAGTAAAAAGCAAAATGAAAGATATAAAACAATATTATATGTAAGTGTAAATATGTGTGAACAAAAGAATTATGATTTTTAAAAGAATATGTACAAATAAAATGTATTGGACTGGGGAAATATGAATCATGTACAAAAAAATATGATTAATGAATGAATGAACACCAAGGCAAGAGTAGGGTCTTATGCAGACCAGACCGATCATTCCTTCATGATTACTCACTAAGGAAGGTGACTCATGGAAACCTTGGCATCTGATGTCTAAACATAGTAAATAAACAAAAAAGGGCTCCAGCATGTGGACCCAGTGCCTGCTGAAGAGCTGTTAACCCTCTGCTGCTGCCCCCTCAACCTCCTCTGTTCTCAGGATGCTCATGGGTGAAGAAGGGACTCCTGGCAAGTGGGACCTGGGGCTGCCACAGAGCCCTCCCAAGGACATAGACAGGACTGTGAGGCCACGGCTCCAGCAGGATGCTGGCTCCTGCAACTGTCAAAGACTTCAGCTCAGTTTTGGAGTTTCCTGTAAGTGATATATCATATGATGAACACAGGCTGCGAAGCTGGAGAGACCTGGGTCTGAGGCCAAGTCCCAACATATACTGGTTCTGTGACTGTGGGCAAGACACTCAACCACGCAGAGCCTTCTCCTCTGAACACTGGGGAGAATGATGATCCGGACTCACAAGACTCTCACGTATCTCTAAAGCTCTTAACATAGGACTAGCATACGGTAAATAATCAATTAGTAGGAAACACTGCTTATTATTATCTGTTAATACTAAGTGATATTTCCTCTTACTCATTCTCACAATGCTACTCTTTGAAAGCAAGGATGAATCTATGGACCTTTTCCTTTGATTCTCAGCCGGAATCAACTTAATCACTTAGGTCTGCATCCCCTCACTAGCAGATGACATTAGGCAAGGATGATACTGCTTTTGTCCCTGTTATTTTCAGAAGATTACAGATAATGGTGTAACATGCAAAACTGTTTCTTATTTAAATTAGTATCGATAACTGCCTATGTGAACAGTTGTACTTAATTATTTTAAAGTGCTCATGAATGCATTATTTTTTACTAACCATTAGAATACAATGTTTATCAACACAAAATGAGAAAAGTGTGACTTTGCCTTATTCTAGCATTATTAAATGAACTGAAGTAGGAATTAAGAAATGTGGGTGATGGTTCCAGCTTTTTCATTAATTAGCTGTGAGAGCCATGGTATGTCACCTGAGGCTTCAGTTTAGCTGGAAAGCATGCTACAAAGTACTATGGGGCCAGGCACGGTGGCTCATGCCTGTAATCTCAGCACTTTGGGAGGCTGAGGCAGGTGGATCACCTGAGGTCAGGAATTTGAGACCAGCCTGACCAATATGGTGAAACCCCATCTCTATTTCAAAAAAAAAAAAAACCAAAAATTAGCCTAGCATGGTGGTGTGCCCCTGTAGTCCTGGCTACTCAGGAGGCTGAGGCAGGAGAATCACTTGAACCTGGGAGGTGGAGGTTGCAGTGAGCCGAGATTGCACCACTGCACTCCAGCCTTGGTGACAGAGTGAGACTCTATCTCAAAAAAAAAAAAAAAAGTAGTATGGAATCTAAAGTTTTCTCTAGCACTAAAAGAGCATGGCCTGAAATAGTTAGTTTATATTCGGGTCAAGAAAGAAAGAAATGTTAGAAAATAAATGAATAATCAATGACAGCAAGAGTACCTTATTGGAAAAAATGTATGTATATATGCACTTATGCATATCTTTAATTAATTAAATATACATAATCATTGAAAAATGAAACACTGCAAATACATTTGTATGTTTGATACTTGAGCATCCTATCATTTTTTTAAATAAAAATGAATTAATTTACCATATTTGAATAAGTCAAAAAGAGAAAAACAAAGTGTAGTGCATGTTTAAAAAAGACAAATAAATGTTTGTGTTTGCTCACTACTGATAACTTTGAGGAAATGATCATTCAGAAACATAAAGCAATCCAAAATACGAATCAAGATTAACGTAAATGTAATTTTTAAAATAATTCAGATAATGAAGAGAGCAGAACTAGCCACTTAGCTCTCTGTATATAGTGCATATAACTAAATATATCACAACTTAACAGGCGTTCTTTCTGAGATATTGCTATTGACTTTAAATGATCACGTTAGTTAAATGTTAAAATACCTTTTTAGAAAGCAGGCAATTCATCTAACTTGTCATTTGACTTGGATCTGGGACAAATTTCCTGTGTGAGATTGATCAGCATGTCTTCTTGCTCTCAGATTTCCTTATTATAATTATAAATCTTTGTGCCTTATAAAAGTTCAGGGTATTATGCTGGTGCCATCTCTGGTTTCTCAGAGACTTTCAACAACCAGCCTCGTTCTGGGACATGATAGGCATTGCTGCAAAATCAGGAATTCTTCAAGGAGAATAAATGTCTGCTGTGTTGAATTTTATGCTAGGTTCCCCAAGATCTGCACCTTTAACCCTCCCAGTATTTACCAGTGTTTAACACACAGTTGGTCCCAGGCAAATGCTGGTGCACTGACTTGATTGTTAGAAATAATCTTCCTAATGCTATATTCTATCCAGTCTCTCTAAACCCAGCTCCTTGTTCTGCTGTGAGGAGCAGCACCTGTCTTCCTTTGCCTGGGTGACTCAGAGATGCCCACTCCATCTTCATCTCTGGACTCACCACAAGTAATTACTTAGTACTTCCCACCAACTGCAGAGCAATTTACTTAATTGGAATGTTTTCACACTTTTTCATCCCTGATAATCAACCTGCACAGATGAAAAAATTAGCTAGGGAATCACTATTATTAAATCAGTGATCTAAGTGCTTTTGTTATTCTAACTGAAAATTGTAATCATTTGTTTGTTTGACATATTTACTATCTGACCATCAGACAGATTCACTTATTTTGTCCATTTTAACTATGACCAAATATATATTTTTTCACATAAGAATCTGTGAGCATTAAACTGGGTGATCCATATTACCTTATCCCTGAATATTAGATATTGGATATGCACATACAAATGGTTATGATTGTTATGATTAGTGTGCTATCATGGAAAATAGTTCATAGTCTTGATAGTCTGAGAATTGCTATGATAATAGTTTCAAAAACATTTAGGATACTTGTTCCCTATTTTTAATTTTAGTTTTTAGCAACAAAAATCATTTGAAAAGCAAACAAAATTATTTCACCATATTTTTACACTTGTAATCATGTATAATACGTTCTAAGAAAAAGCCATCTCTACCTATAAAATACTGCATAAGATGCAATTGTATATTCCTGTGTGTCTCTCACACAGATCCATCAATGAACAATATTGCCAGCATTGGGAATAAGAATACTGAATGAATCAGGCCTAGGTTGAGTATTTTCTGTGACTATGAGGCAGTCACATCCTCCTATTTGGTTAGGATCTACAGAGTAACTAGACTCAAAAGGTGCCACCTGCCTAGAATAATATTAGTATGAGATAATAAGAGTTGCTCATAGCTTATCCGGCAGTGTGCTAGAAATTTTCTGTCTATGAATTTGTAAAACAGCAGCAACAACATGAGGCACATGGAAGTTCAATGTCCTATGGTCAAAGCTGAGCTCTGGAAACCGCCTTCGCACAAATTCTAACAGTGAAATTGAAACCGCCTTTGCACAAATTCTAACAGTGACAAAATTATGGCAATGGGGAGACCTGATCTAGTTAACCCCATTCTTGCCCTTGACCTTCAAGTTGCCCTTAATCATTCCTGAGCTTGGGCAAGCCAACCGTGAGAGACATCTAGTTTATAGTTTAAATGATAATAGCCCTTCCCCAAAACTAAAGCTAATGAGAGACCACCAGGCTAGGAGAATAGAGGAGCCTAAATTCTGCTAAGATACAGACATAAATGATTGCTAGCCATTTGTTCAGAGGTCACGAGATATGCAACTTCCTCATGAATTCCAGCAGATAACATCAGTATTGTAGAATCTAAGATTAGCCTTTTGAGATATCCAGGTTTTTTGCATGTTTGACTACCCATGGCTCCACTGGACCTGCCAACAGCTCCCGTAGCTCCACCCATAAGTAACTCAGCATGCAGAAGAATCATTTCCCACACCCCTATGATTACACCCCCAACCAATCAGCGGCAAGCACCCATTTCCTAGCCACTCCCAGCCCTTCCCCTAAACTACCTTTGAAAAATCCCTAATCTATGAGCCTTCGATGAGACTGACTTGAACAATAACTTCATCTCTAATGTGGTGTGGCCGACCTTGAGTTAATTTAAACTCTTTACAGCAAATACCATGTTTTTTGTTTTGTTTTGTTTGCAGATGACATGATTGTATAATTAGAAAACCCCATTGTCTCAGCCCAAAATGTCCTTAAGCTGATAAACAACTTCAGCAAAGTCTCAGGATACAAAATCAATGTACAAAAATCACAAGCATTCTTATACACCAATAACAGACAAACAGAGAGCCAAATCATGAGTGAACTCCCATTCACAATTGCTTCAAAGAGTATAAAATACCTAGGAATCCAACTTACAAGGGATGTGAAGGACCTCTTCAAGGAGAACTACAAACCACTGCTCAACCAAATAAAAGAGGACACAAACAAATGGAAGAACATTCCATGCTCATGGATAAGAAGAATCAATATCGTGAAAATGGCCATACTGCCCAAGGTAATTTATAGATTCAATGGCATCCCCATCCAGCTACCAATGACTTTCTTCACAGAATTGGAAAAAACTACTTTAAAGTTCATCTGGAACCAAAAAAGAGCCCTCATTGATAAGACAATACTAAGCCAAAAGAACAAAGCTGGAGGCATCACGCTACCTGACTTCAAACTATACTACAAGGCTACAGTAACCAAAACAGCATGGTACTGGTACCAAAACAGAGATATAGACCAATGGAACAGAACAGAGCCCTCAGAAATAATGCCACATATCTACAACCATCTGATCTTTGACATACCTGACAAAAACAAGAAATGGGGAAAGGATTCCCTATTTAATAAATGGTGCTGGGAAAACTGGCTAGCCATATGTAGAAAGCTGAAACTGGATCCCTTCCTTACATCTTATATAAAAATTAATGCAAGATAGATTAAAGACTTAAATGTTAGACCTAAAACCATAAAAACCTTAGAAGAAAACCTAGGCAATACCACTCAGGACATAGGCGTGGGCAAGGACTTCATGTCTAAAACACCAAAAGCAATGGCAACTAAAGCCAAAATTGACAAATGGGATCTAATTAAACTAAAGAGCTTCTGCATAGTAAAAGAAACTACCATCAGAGTGAACAGGCAACCTACAGAATGGGAGAAAATTTTTGCAATCTACCCATCTGACAAAGGGCTAATATCCAGAATCTACAAAGAATTTAAACAAATTTACAAGAAAGAATCAAACAACCCCATCAGAAAGTGGGCAAAGGATATGAACAGACACTTCTCAAAAGAAGACATTTATGCAGCCAACAGACACATGAAAAAATGCCCATCATCACTGGCCATCAGAGAAATGCAAATCAAAACCACAATGAGATAACATCTCACGCCAGTTAGAATGGTGATCATTAAAAAGTCAGGAAACAACAGGTGCTGGAGAGGATGTGGAGAAATAGGACCACTTTTACACTGTTGGTGGGACTGTAAACTAGTTCAACCATTGTGGAAGACAGTGTGGCGATTCCTCAAGGATCTAGAACCAGAAATACCATTTGACCCAGTCATCCCATTACTGGGTATATACCCAGAGGATTATAAATCATGCTTCTATAAAGACACATGCACGTGTGTTTATTGCGACACTATTCGCAATAGCAAAGACTTGGAACCAACCCAAATGTCCATCAATGACAGAATGGATTAAGAAAATGTGGCACATATACACCATGGAATACAATGCAGCCATAAAAAATGATGAGTTCATGTCCTTTGTAGGGACATGGATGAAGCTGGAAACCATCATTCTGGGCAAACTATCGCAAGGACAGAAAACCAACCACCACATGTTCTCACTCATAGGTGGGAACTGAACAATGAGAACACTTGGACACAGGATGGGGAACATCACACACTGGGGCCTGTCGTGGGGTGGTGGGAGGAGGGATAGGATTAGGAGATATACCTGATGTAAATGAGGAGTTAATGGGTGCAGCACACCAACATGGCACATGTATACATATGTAACAAACCTGCACGTTGTACACATGTACCCTAGAACTTAAAGTATATAAAAAAAAAAGATCTGCATAGTTTTGGATGGTATATATTTAACATGATCTTCCTGTTCTAGATAGATAAACCTCTAGATATTAGAGAGTTGTCAATTTTCACTCTTATAAACAATGCTGCAACCCTGTAAATATGAGTAAGATTTACGCTTACTTATCTCTATTTCAGAATAACTTTCTAGGGATATAGTACACTCAGCAGCCCTCCATATCCATGGGTTCTGCACTCATGAATCCAACTGTGATTAAGAATAGTAGGGAAAAAATGGATGGCTGTGACTTTGTTGAACATGCACAACCATTTTTTTCTTGCCATTATTCTTTAAACAATATAGTATAACGACTATTTTTACAGCATTTGCATCGTATTATTAGTAATCTGGAGATGATTTAAGTATACAGGAGGCTGTACAAAGGTTACATACAAAACTACACCATTTTATATAAGGGACTTGGGCATCCATGAATGTTGGTATCTTTGGGGGTGGGGGGCTCCTGGAATGAATCTCCCGCAGATATCCAGGGATGACTGTATTTCTAGTCCACAAGGTTGCTCATCATTGAGTAACTTCTTTTTACCTGCACATGGAGGTGTATTTTAAGTGTCCATTCAAATCAGTGATTGATGAGAATACACAGTGTATTTTTCCTCTAGGCCACAGAAACTAATTTCTGAAATGAAATTTTTTTAACTAATTGACTTTTTGCTAGTTTTTGAATAGCCCAAAGAAAATGGGATTATATTCTCAAATTCAAATCATCATCATCATCATCATCATCATCATCATCATAGCTTATGTTTTTGAGCACTTCCCACATACTTCCTTAAGCCCTTTGCTCAGAGATGGTCAGTATTTCATTGTCATAATAACCATAATCACCTTCACCCAAATTTGTCTGAAATGCACAACTGATTCCCAAGTTTATATAGAAATATTGATATTTTCTTTTTTTCTTTTTTTTTTTTTTTGAGACAGTCTCGCTCTTTGCCCAGGTTGGAGTGCAGTGGTGGGATCTCAGCTCACTGCAACCTCCGCCTCCTGGGTTCAAGAGATTCTCCTGCCTTAGCCTCTCGAGTAGCTGGGATTATAGATGCCTGCCACCACGCCCAGCTAATTTTTGTATTTTTAGTAGAGACTGGGTTTCACCATGTTGGCCAGGCTGGTCTGGAACTACTAAGTTCAGATGATCCACCTGCCTTGGCCTCCCAAAGTGCTGCGATTACAGGCATGAGCCACTGCACCTGGCCCTGATTTTCATTACTTTTCTTTCAGATTAGTTTATAGATTTTTAGATTTGAGGCTTAGAAGAAAATTCCTTAGTTTAGTATAGTAGAACTATTTTCCTGTATTTTATTTAAAGCTTAATAATACAAATTTTAGAAGTGCAAATATATTTTATTATATTCTTTATCTCTTTATCTTTTTTATTTGTAAGATAAAAGTAAAGATTTATCTCACAAATAAATGTTTATAAAAAATGAGATAGCAAAAGCAATTATTTTAGCCTGCCTAGGAGATTTAAAAATTGGTTCCACAGATCTGTAAGAATAAACACAAACAATTTTCTATAGACAAATTTTAAAGTATAATTTGAAGTACATCAGAAATACAGTCGTCTCCCCTTATCTGCAGTTTTGCTCGCTTTCCATAGTTTCAATTACCCGTGGTTAATCACAGCCTGAAAATATTAAATAGAAAATTTCAGAAATAAGCAGTTCATAAGTTTTAAATTGCTCACTATCCTGAGTAATGTGATGAAAACGCATGTCACCCTGCTCTGTCCTGCATGGGACGTGAATCATCCCTTTGTCCAGCATATCCATGCCCTATAAGCTACCCACCTATTAGTCACTTAAGTAGCCCTCTGGGTTATCAGGTGGGTTGTCATGGTATCACAGTGCTTGTGTTCAAATCACTCTTATTTCAATCAACAACGGCTCCAAAGTGCACAAGTAGTGATGCTGGCATATTGCTACAATTTTCTATTTTATTAGTGGTTCTTGTTGTTAATCTCTGTGCCTCATTTATAAAAGCAACTTCATCACAGGTGTGTATGTATAAGAAAAAAACATAGTACATATAGGGTTCAGCACTGTTTGCAGTTTCTGGCATCCACCAGGGATTTGGGGACTACTGCAGTCACTTTCTCCCAAAGTATCACCTCCATTTCTCACATCTGAGTTGTCACCATCAAAATACTCATTGTTTTGGGCCTACAAGCCTTTTAAAGTTCATTATTAAAGTTTAAATAGCCTTTTATGGGGATTCTTATCAGTTAGTGCCTTTTTCATTCA
Source organism: Homo sapiens (assembly GCF_000001405.40). Lineage (NCBI taxonomy): Eukaryota > Metazoa > Chordata > Mammalia > Primates > Hominidae > Homo > Homo sapiens. The sequence continues at coordinate 130,500 of NW_025791789.1, read as the reverse complement.
TTTGTCCAGGATGTTTATTAAACCAGAACACCAGCACTCCCTGGACTAGGAAACAAGGAGCGCGCAGGCTGGGGCCCAGACTTTACACGACTCCTGAGGACAACCGACTCAGACGGGGTCCGAAGAAATTCAGATCGGTGAACGGGTGAACCACACAGAGAACTAGAAAAGGCTACGTCGGCCCACTTCACCATTTTGCCCTGAGATGGTTCTGTGGACTTAACAAGAAAAGGAAAAGGATAAAGCCTGTGCCAGAAGAAGTGGTTCAGGAGGTAAGGGTTTCTAAGATTGTGTATGGCTTTACAATGTATAGCTCCCTCCTCCAAGTACATTTCAGAGACAAATCCTGAGCAATAAAAAACCTTGAGCAAGCTGAAAGCAATAAAAATGTACTGGAGTGTGATAAAAAGGACATTTTGCCAATTTATAATTACACTCGTAACATATAAGCTGTTTCATACTTTACAAGTTGCGCTTGCTAGGAGTCAGGTCTGTGGGTGTATGTAATCTTTCCTCTCTATACTTCTGCATAAGCCTATTTTTCTTCAAAATTTTATAGCTGTTTGTGTAGTGACTCCAAATAAAAACAGTGAAAATACACTGATTATTTTTCAACTCTAAATACCCATTTTAAGTATAGCTGAAGAATGAAAGGATATAATCCTCCTATTGGTCCCTTGTTGCTAAGAAGCATTTCCGTTGCAGATTTTGAGTATTACATTCATTGAAAAAGTCTTATGCATATTTTATGGCATAATTATTTTTATTGTGGTAAGAAACTTAACATGAAATCTATCATCTTAAACAATACAGTACCATTAACTATAGGCACAGTTTTGTACAGCAGATCGCTAGAACTTGTTTAACTGAAATTTATGCCGAAAGAGATAGCAAGTGTTGGCAAGGATGTGAAAAAAAGGAACCCCTTTTGCACCATTGGTGGGAATGTAAATGGTGCAGCTGCAATGGAAAACATTATGGCAAATCCTCAAAAGATTAAAAATAGAACTATCATATGATCCAGCAATCTTACTTTCGGGTATATACACCCCCCCAATATAAAATGAAGATGTTAAAGAAATTTTGGCTCTCCTATGTTCACTGCAGCATTATCCACAACAGCCAAGATGTGGAAATAACCCAAATGTCCACTGATGAGTGGAATGGATAAACAAAATATGGTATAATTTTTAAAATCACAAACTGAGTTGGTCTAATGTCTTAAATTGGCATGTCATTTTCAGCTTGACATTCACACCTTGAAGATTCAGTTAAACACAGAATAGCAATCTGCATCTTTAATATCATCTCGGTGGGGCTCAGACTTTCCTGTCACTGAACTTTCTGTAGGTCCTCAGTGCTGTGAGGAGCTTAGAGGCCCAATAGCAACCTGTCCTCTGGGATTCCGTCTTCCAAGTTGGAGCAACTGGGAGAACAACAGGGGCCACTGGAACTGTCCAACAGAGTCCTGCAGCTGCAGGACAGCCATGGGGTAGATGGAGGACAGTCAGAATTCTCTGCTGCTTTCATTTCCCACAGAGCTGTTGTCCCCGTCTTCCTCCCCACAGTCAGTGCTGTGGGCTCACTTTGCAAACCACACAAGGACCGGCCTGTGAGAAACTTCCAGTAGAAAATGCTGCCACCCTGAGAAACCAGGACTTTCCAGAATCTTTCTGTCCACATGTCACCTACTTATAAACTGAGGGAGGCAGTGCTGGATTCTGTGGTGAGGCAGGGTTGGGGGGAAGGGTTTTTAACTTGGAAGATCTAAATAAACCAGAGTTCAAGACCTGTCACAATTCCAAGTATGATGTAAATCACTCATCCCCCTTGAATTTCCCATCTTCCTTTTGCAAAATAGAGGTAATGGTGATTACTCCTAGGATCTTATCTGAGGGAAGATGTATAGATATCAGTAAACATAATGCACTGTGGAAAATTCAAATGATTTCCACTTCAAGTACACTTTGGGATGAAGCAAGGTTGAAAGAAAATAAGGAAGACAAGGTTTTGTTTTTGTTTCTTGGGTCTTGCTCTAATAAATTCACAAAGGAGTTTGAAAGGTGATAGCGGCTGGGTGTTTCATAGCCAACAGGCCTACACATACCACAGAAACCACACAGCAAAATGTAAATTTTAAAATATGTTCCCTTCTTTTTAACTTTCAGCAAGCTTAACAGATTTCAAAATTACACTAAAACTCTCCCAGAGTTAAATGTTGTTTTTCCACCCTGGAAAAGGGAAATTAGATTGAAAAATAGAATATTAAAAAATAGGTAATAATGGAAGAAAATGCATTGGGTGGGGGCCTCTAACTACATACACTTTGGAAAAGGAAGATGTTTTCCTACTCTGTCTTTCTCGAAGAGTTGCGTCTGGTCCTACTCAAGTCTGCAGAGGGTCAGTTTCCTGTTCACTTGCTCACAGCAGCTTGCAGTCCTTCTCAGTCCCAACTTCTAATTTTATTCATTTTCACCCCAATGTAGAATTTGTTTCTCACAGTACTCATCAACGTAAGCCACGGTTCAGTCTTCCTGATATTTTATTGTGCAATGTATATTAAATACTGTATTACATTTTAAAATACGAGTTATGAGATGTTAGTCACATTCATTAATCTGCATGTGAAAGTACAACTAAAATGTGGGCACGGTGAGTCCCTGGGGCCGCAGTTCTCAGGGTTTATCGAGCACATGATTTCTTTCAAGGTGAATGTGATTTAACTTAAAAAATTTTGCTGTTTTTATAAAGGACAATCAGACTTCTCTGTATTATTTGGCATCGCTGCAGGGTTCAGACTTTGAATGAAGGCAGAAAATTAGCCTTCAGCATACAAAGTAAAGTGTCAATAATAAGAAGTAAGTGGTCACTAAAGCTAAAATCAGGAGGAAAAAAGCAGAAAGCAAAACCAAAGCAAATTCAATCCCAAAGCAAGTTTAAATGGGAAAATAAATTAAAAATTAAATTTTAAAATGACATAGCAAATTATAAATAGAAAGAAATGAGTCTAGTCGAGTTCTGCAGCCTCCAGCCTGGAGAAGGGTGGGGTGAGATGAAAACATTCAGACTTCCTTCCTTCCCTTCCTTCCCTCCCTCCCTCCCTCCCTCCCTTCCTTCCTTCTGGTGTGAACTGCACCAGCACCCTGCCCCTCACCCCTCTCACCTGCATCTCCTTTTCATCCTTTCTCCCTCTCTCAGTTGGTTCTCTGTTTGTGATAGTGTTTTAGGACCAACCACTTGGGTTCAGATTTCTTCAGAGGACAAAATGCCAGAGGGACTAGAAAGGAGGAGGGGGTTCCTATGACTCAGAGGGAAAAGAACTTGGGCCTGGAACTAAGTCTCCTGCCCCTTCTGCATGAAAGTGCCCTGGAGTCCTCAGCTGAGCAAATCCATATTCCTTTAAAAGGCAGGAAATGCATTTTGCCCAGCACTAAACTCGTCCTCACTGATAAATTCCAAACCTGAGGGGGAACAGCTGTGCCTGATCATCGCCCTCACTCCCACCAGGGAGACAGAATCCATAGAATCCACAGCGTGCCAAACAGTTTGGGATTAATGTTTCTGTGTGGAACCCTGAAGAGAGACACGTTCTGGGCTGGGATGGCAGCAAAACCACATCACTCCAGAATTCCAATCAGAGACCCGAGAGCAGCCATTCCCCCAGGCCTCTCATCCCTGTCATCCCCGGACATGTCCTCAAATCGTATGCCGTTGATCCTCAGGTCAATCTGTCCTTTTCCGGGCTCTCTACACTCCCATCCACCCATGCACTCCCCACTACTCTTCTTCCTTCCCCACAGTTTTTTTTCTGTGCACTCTTTGACCCTCATAAAGAAGGGAAGGGAAAAGGAGGGGAGGGGAAGGGAAGGGAGGGAAGGGAAAAAGAAAGAAGAGAGGGAAGGGGGATGAGGTTGAGGGGAGGAAAGAAGGAAGAAAAAAGACTACTTTAATCTTATCTGAGAATATTCTGGTGTAGCCTAGAAACTGAGACTGGCTCCCCAGGTGGGCAGCCCAAGGTTTCTGGTACAGGCTCTGCTTGTGTGACATGAGCTCATTACTGAGCCTCTCTAAAGTTGTATTTCTTCATCCCAAGTTAATGATGAAAAAGTAAATAATAGAATGCAGCTAAAATTCTAAAAATCTCACCTGGTACACAATAAATACTCAGTTATATTGGGTGTCAGACACTGATCTACACCTTGATTAAAACTCAGGTCTTTCTTTTGGACACCCCTGCCCTTGTAACACTCAGGAATGCAGTTTCCTCATTTCCCCTCATCTTATTTGTGGTGGGGTCTGGACACATTTTCACCGATCTCCTTTGATTTCATAACATTGCACTTCCTCACAAAAGTAACTGAACACACACAACGAGAAAGTTATCTCTTCTCTTAAATGCCATTTGACTATAGCTCCCTCTACCCTTCCTGGCCATTGTAATTCATTTTCTAAACTCTGAGTCATTCCCTTACACTTATCACCATCTCCTCTATCCCAAAGCCACAATATGAACATCCTTGAGGAATACCAATAAGATCCTTTGACTTCAAGTTCCCTGATGCAAATGAGCTCCAGCTGCTTCACTTCAGCCTCATTCCCACGGCCAACCTCATCACCACCTGGGATGGGGGCACCATCTTTGAAATCTTATTTAAACTCTGTGTTGACTGTACACCTCTAGATAGTCCCAGATCTCTCACTCCCACACTATAGCTTCTTTGACATGCTGACTCTTTCTGATTTTCGTTATCAGCCTCTCTTGATCTAACTGTCCTCTCCACATTGCCCAAACAGCATGGTACCATTTTTTCCAGACTCTTTTGCCAATTTGTTAGCATTTATGTAGCCAAATCCTCAATGTCAGCATGTCAGCATACCTGCAGATGCTAATTCTAGGTCAGTCTTCTCAGTTGCCTTCTCAGGTTCTGCAAACAGCTGACTATTGCTGGGGAAAACCCCCCAGCTGTGCGGGTGGGGTCCCTATTCATGGTCTCCATCCTGGGGTCTGTATGCTACGAGGACAATGGTCCTTAGCCTTGAATGAATATGGGAATCATCAGGTGGATTCTTTAACATACTGCTTAGTTCCTACTCTCTTGAGGTTTGGATTTAAGTGGTCTGGGCAGTGGTCTGGGCAGGTGTTTCCAGTGTAGAAATGTACTATTACTAGGGACTCTTGTTGTTCCCTGTCAAAATCTTTTTCCATTCCACATCCTCTACTACACACACATAAACATTTCCTACCTTAATTCCACTTTTCCCTTATCACTTTTTTGTTTGTTTGTTTGTTTTTGAGACAGGCTCTTGCTTTGTCACCCAGGCTGGAGTGCACTGGCTCGATCACAGCTCATTGCAGCCTCGATCTTCCAGACTCAAGCAATCTTCCTTAGTTTTCCGAGTAGTTGGGACTACAGGCACACACCACAACTAGGTAATTTTTGTATTTTTTTGTAGAGACAGGGGTCTCACTGTGTTGCCCAGGCTGGTCTCAGACTCCTGCACTCAAGGGATCTGCCTGCCTCAGCCTACCAAAGTGTTGGGATTACAGGTATGAGCCACAGCACCGGCTCCTTCATCACTCATATCACAGAGCTTGAATCTTCTGAACATCAAGTAGATAAGAACAGCCATAAACTCCCTTTCAGAAATTTAAAATAAAGCATATATAATTAGCTATTTTCCTCCTGTTTCAGAAAACATCATTGTTTTTCAGTGTCTTCTGTGTTCTGGATCCTTTTCCCTGCCATCCCTCTGGGACGTTGCCCCTCAGCTACTCTGTGAGTTTCTTCTGTCTCCAAGCTGTTGATGGGCATGGGAGTTCCACCAGCATCCCTGGCAGTGACCAGGCTCTAGTCACTCTAGCTTCCACTTCACACTGTCCCCTGCCCGTGTATGTCCCTCTTGCTACTGCTGTCCCACTCTCTTTTTCTAAGCATCCCGACTTCTACAGAAAGTATTCATCATTTGCTCTCTCCTTTTCATTAACTCATTTCCTCTCCTCAGTCTTCTGCAATCAGGCATCTACTCTTATCCATTCATCAATTTACTGATGAACTCAGATCTATCACTAATTTATACAGATTATTTTGTTTTCATTTTCACAATAATCCTATAACGTATGTTCTATAATAACACCTATTATATAGATGAAGAAACAAGGTACAAAGTGGTTAATCAGCTAATCCAAGTTCATACAGCTAGCAAACAGTGAACCCAGTATTTGAACCCAACTGATTTGACTCAAACTCTGCATTCTTACCTACGTCCTGCTTTGTCTTCCAGTTCACCTGACATTTGCTTGCTCTGATGACGAAACTCTGCCCTACCTGATTTGACATTCCTAGCATTCAAGTCAGTCTTGGGTTAAATAGCTGAAGTGGGACTATTATTTCCAGACTCCACTGTTAAAATGCACAAAGAAGCCAGAACAGAGGGAGTGTGCTGATGGTTTTCACTAATTATTTTCCTCTACCACATTAGCTTGGGTACCAGATCCAGCCACGTTTTTGGTGCCACAACCCAAGGAGCTGGAGGGTAAGGATCCACAGAGGGGAAGGGATAGAGGAGATGAGAGGAAGGAGAGGAAAGGAGAGGAGAGAAGAGAAGAGAAGAGAAGAGAGAAAGGGTGAGGATGACCAGCTCAGTACCCAGTGTTCTGCAGCTCTGGAAGGTAGGCCTGCCTTGACCTAAGATGTGATCCTACAGGACCTCTGGCAACCAGAAGCTCCAAACAATGCCCAAAGCAGGTAACATGAAAAAAGATTTGGGAAGGATAAGAAATGCATATTCCTGAACCTGAACTCAGAGGTAGCTACAGCTTACTCTGCCCGGTCACAGCACACAAATGCAGTTTCCTTTCAGAAATAATTTTCGCAAAAGATTTTGTGTCATAGCTTAAGGAATTTAGCTCAGATGAAGAAAAAAAATCTTAGTATTAAGATTCTAAATAGAACAATAAAAGAAACCCATAGTACAAATTAATGAGATGTGATAGGGCTAATTTCTCTGTTTAGAGATGTTTTAACTGTGACTTGACAATACTGACATGCAAGCTCTTCAGGAGAACCTAGTTTTCATTTGAGCTTGCTTAATTAATTACCGAAGTAATGAATTTATTCTGATTCAAGGGTAGACAACTGATTGTTAATGTAAATTTATTGGCCGTTTAACTTTTTTTATTATTTTGGAGAAGCAAGGGTGGAAAAAATACCACCAGAGTAAATTTACATTGTGTTCTTGGGATATTTTTCAGTAATTTTTGCAAACTTCCTTACAATAAATAGAAGCCATTCCTAAACCTGAATTTATTTTTCCTTTCAGTCAGAAGTTTAGCTAATAAAACTTTTGCCAGAGTGTAGCCCAATAGCTCCCCTGGGAACTCTTTCAACTGCGTAATTTTTTCTCTCTCTTGTAAAAAGAATGACATGGTGTCTTTAAAATGTTCAAGGCTCTGAAAGAAAGACAAGCCATTTGATATGAATGATTAATAAGGACATTAAGGAATACAAAAGAGGAGTTTAAATATAAAAAAAATTCTCATTTTCAGAATGCAGATCAAATCTGACTTCTCTTCTATTTTTTCTGTTTCACAGACAAAATCCTGACTGAGGTTAAGTGCTAATGTTTTTAATGCCCATCTTTTATTCTCATGCTTGACACCAATCGGCTACTTCAGAACTAGTGTCTTGACACTTGAATCTTTTCCACAGCACCAAAGGTTATTCCACAAGGACATCTGCGAAAGGAAGAATATATTTCTAACGCAATAAACAAAGGATTTTATGCAAAGCCTATTTAGACAGGAAATGGAAACCCGGATGGCAGAGAAGCCATGTTGTTCAGGTCCTGCTATTTATGAGGGTGAGTTTTCCTTGAGAAACGCATGTCTCTTTATAAGCAGAAACCTCTGTAAGGTAATCCAGCAGTGACGGAATGAGATATAATATTACGTTTTAATCAAAAAGAGAGTCATTAAGAATATGGCATTATTATTTATATTTATTCTTATCCATATTATTTTTTAAAGTATTAGGAAAATATTCATTGTGGAGATGATTTAAGAATCTATCCATATGAGGAAATAAAGTATTACCTGAAAGGGGTCCCGATCCAGATCCCAAAAAAGGGTTCTTGGACCTTGTGCAAGAAACAAATTGGGACAAGTCCAGAAAGTGAAAGCAAGTTTATTAAGAAAGTAAAGGAATGAAAGAATGGCTACTCCAGAGGCAGAGCAGCAGCATGGGCTGCTCAAATAAATATAGTTATTTCTTTATTATATGCCAAACAAGGGGTGGATTATTCATGAGTGTTCCAAGAAAGGGGCAGGCAATTCCCAGAACTGAGGGTTCCTCCCCACTTTAGACCACATAGCATAACTTCTGGACGTTGCCATGGCATTTGTAAACTGTCATGGCGCTTGTAAACTGTCATGGCGCTGGTGGAAGTGTCTTTTAGCATGCTAATGAATTATAATTAACTTATACTGAGCAATAAGGATGACCAGAGGTCACTCTCATAGCCTTCTTGGTTTTGGTGGGATTTGGCCAGCTTCTTTACCGTATCCTGTTTTATCAGCAAGGTATTTGTGACCTGTATCTTACGCCGACCTCCTGTCTCATCCTGTGACTAAGAATACCTTAACCTCCTAGGAATGGAGCCCAACAGGTCTCAGCCTCAGTATTCCCAGCCCCTATGCAAGATGGTTCAAATGCTTCTGATAAAGGGACTCATATATTAGGAATTCACAATCTGAAATGAGCAATAATATTCTGAATGTAAAGATAGCCTAAATGACATGTTTTAGCCAGTGGCATATAAAATTAGATTTGTCATGAATTGATGTCATACGTATAATTTGGGGGAAAGGCCAGCATAGAATAATTGTAAGATAGAATGGAAAATAACTGAGTTTCAAATACTGGCAGGCAAAGAGTAGGCAAGCCATTGTAGCTCATGGTAATTCAGAAAGGCATCTGGAAATGGAGCCATCTCAGAAGTCGTTTACATGACAGAAGAGAAATTAGTAAATATTTCTGAGGTGGAGACCAGTCGGCAAACACATGGCTTTACTCTTGGTCAAAGGACCTAATTCAGAGGTGATGAGATGACAAACGTTTGGGGGTGATACCTGACACCAAAGGAAAGCAAGAACTGGAGAAATGGTCATGAGAGTAAAGATGCAAAACTCTAGTGACTGACTAGTAGCAGCAACTTAGAAACCGAGTCAGCAGCTGAAATGCAAAAGGAAGCCATCCTAGAAGAAAGCCGGGTTAAAGTCGCAGACAGAGTGGGCTGCTCCAACAGCAAAGCCATACATTTTGAGACAGCGATGCGCTGCCTTTCTTCACAAGGTTTACCCAGCACACCCACCCAAACCATGGCAGACTTGTATTGATGCATTTTCCCCTTCCAAATGGATCCCCTGTGAGAACTCTGGGAGTCTATCAACACAAAGGTTGATGAGAAAGTAGAGGACTGAGCAAAGCCAACTTACTTTGAACTTCAATACTACTTTAGAGCACAATAAAATATTAAGATTTACATCATCCTGCTTCCTTATTGTAGATTACCCATTGTTCAGTCTACTTTGGGATTTCTTCATTGTAGCTTGTTGCAGCACTTCTGTGCGTGTGTGTGTGTGTGTGTGTTTGCATGAGAAATAGTTACACCATGTGAATTTAAAAATGAGGAGAACTTAGATAGGAACTTGTTAGTCTCAACTGCAGCTGCCCCTGTGGAAAACTGGTGTTGCCCTCCCTTTACAGTTTTGCTGCAGAAATGGGTGATTTTAAACCTGAAAGTCAAAGTATATTTATTAGCTTGATCATATGAAATTGCTGTTTTTGTAGGTCAAGATACTTAGATATCAGCACATTCACAAGGTTCAGCCTTATAGTGCGTGACTGGATTCCACATCCACCCTGCATTTTGTAATCGAAGGGGAGGAAGCTCACAGGTGTTGAGCACCTTGTACTTGGCCAGGTGTTTGTTAGGGGCTATTTTAGAAACAGCACTCAGTTAGTTACTCTTAGCCAGGTGCTGTCTGCACCACATCACGTGATGGTCAAGGACTGATGACCCAGGCCATGAATAAGTATCATTCATTCAACATTAAACACGAGAAAAAAAGATTCATTAATTTAAAAAACACCACTAAAATAAATATTACAATTAGAATTTGAAGGCTCCTATTTCTTTCCATTGGGTTATATCCACTAATAAATGTTACAAAGTTAGGATGACACTTAACTTGAGATACAGTTTTGTAGCCGTTGTTTTTTTTTAATCTAATAAGCTCCTTCTGTGCTATACCAAATGACCTCCCTAGCTGGGACTCCTCCTGACATCCAGGCTGTTCCTTCGCATTTGAAAGCCCACGAAAGTCTTTCTTCTTACCAGTACACTGATACCCACACATCCCAGCCACTGCCCTTCACTCTCACATCAAGATAAGGTCTTGATGTTCACTTTCAGGTTTTATATCAGTATACTGAGCATTAGCGATTGGCTTTCATCCTGGAGAAATTTCAATGGGAAAAAGAATTGCATTAAAATCACTACTTATTATTATTTTTTACGTTTATTTCAATTTGTTTTTAATTGAAAAGCCATACGATTCACATAGTTCAAACCACATCTGCATCCATTTTATATTTTTATCCCATTCCCATTACCCAGAGGGGAAAAATGCTATGATTTTTCTTATTTTTCTTATGTGTCCTTCTAGAAATATTTCATATTTACATGAGTATATATATATATATATATTCATTGTGGGAATTTCAAATGGGAGAATATCTTACCTTATTCTTTGATTTTAGAAAAATATCTTGGAAGTTCATTCACAGTAAGTATGTTTACCTCATTATTTCTCAAGGCTGCATGCTATTCCAGAGTATAAATGTACCATGACCACTGAAAGAGAACTGTACTAACATATTTACCATTATATTCATAAAATGTTAATCTCTTCATGCACATATGCATATATTACACTATGACTGTGGGATAAATTCCTAGAAGTAGCATTGCTGCTTAACGTAAACTATACATTGAGAGAAACTGAAAGCATCACTCTTTTTGCATTACCTCCTTTCACTACACTGCAAGTTGATCATTTTTTGGAACTTTAATTTTATAGATAGTGCCAAATGGTTCTTCAAGAAATCATATTCATAAAAAGGCACCAGTTCCTGAAATTGAATCATCTGAGTTTTACCTTTTCATGTGCACACTTGAAACAGACCTAAAACATTCCCAGATGTGGTGAGGGGTTGTGAGTAAAGATTCTGCAGCCAGGCCACTTGGGTTCAAATTATTGTGCTACCACTAACTAGCTCTATAATTGGGGCAAATAAATAAAGCCTGTCTTTTTGCTTTCCTTGTTTTCATCTGGGAAGAATATTAGTATCTAGCTCATAGAGTTCTGCGAGGATTTTAATATGTACAAAGCACAAAGAATCATGTTTGGTGCACAGTAAGCACTCAAGATACATAACGTCTTCATACTTAAATTTGTTCTTAAAACTGATTATTTTTAACCTGAGCCTTATGCTGAGCAATGATATCCATAATATTGCATGTTTGCATACTATTTAGATTTTAAGAGACTTTAAATTTAATGCATTAACTATGAAAGTACAGTTGAAAGTAATGTCCTAAGCAACACAGCCTCAGTAAATGTTTTAGTTGTTCTAATCAATTGAGTAGTACCTCACTGCTGTTTTAATTTGCATTTCTTTAACTTATAAACAAGGTTGAATATTATCTCATGAATTTACTATTATTATTATTATTATTATTATTATTATTATTATTATTATTATTTGAGACGGAGTCTTGCTCTGTCACCCAGGCTGGAGTGCAGTGACGCAATCTCGGCTCACTGCAAGCTCCACCTCCCGGGTTCACAGCATTCTCCTGCCTCAGCCTCCTGAGTAGCTGGGACTACAGGCGCCCGCCACCACACCTGGCTAATTTTTTGTATTTTTAGTAGAGATGGGGTTTCACCGGGTTAGCCAGGATGGTCTCGATCTCCTAACCTCGTGATATGCCCACCTCGGCCTTCCAAAGTGCTGGAATTACGGATGTGAGCCACCGTGCCAAGCATTATCTCATAAATTTATAAACTATTTTTTCTTCATGTGGAATGCTTATCAATCCTTCTCAATTTTACATTGCTTTTTTTTAATCTTTATCCATTGATGTATAAGAGCACTTTATAAAAAAACTGTCATGTATATTAAAATATTATTTCCCATTCATAAATTGATATCTTCTGGTAAGTTTCAAATAATTTCATTTATTAGTCCCTTTACTGTGGTCTTGGTTTTACATCTTGCATAGAAATACATGCCCGCTCCCACATTATATATGCAAACCTCTCCCACAATCTTCTAGAACTGTTTCTGTGGCTACTTTAAAATCTTTAATTCACCTACAATCTACTTTGATGCAAGGAATAGGGTAATAGTCCAGTTTTATTAATTTTTTCCTGAGGGATACCTAGTTTCCCCAGTACCATTTATTAATTTTTTTCTTACTAATTTAAAATGCCACATCTTTTATCAGCATATATATTTGAATTTGTTAGTGAATACTATTTTTTCCACTGCTATTAATATCAAGCATACTAAAATATAGAATCAACCTTTATTATGTACTTTTTTTTTTTTTTGAGACAGAGTCTCACTCACTCTGTCACTCAGCCTAGAGTGCAGTGGCGCAATCTTGTCTCACTGCAAACTCCACCTCCAGGGTTCAAGAGATTCTCCTGCCTCAGCATACCAAGTAGCTGGAATTACAGGAGCACGCCACCACACCCAGCTAATTTCTGTATTTTTAGTAGAGACAGGGTTTCACCACGTCAGCTAGGCTGCTCTCGAACTCCTGTCCTCAGGTGATCTGCCCAACTCAGCCTCTCAAAGTGCTGGAATTACAGGCGTGAGCCACCGCGTCCAGCCTCTAGGTATTTTTCTAATTGGTAAGACTAACTCCTTTTTCAATTTCTTGTTGCCAATTGTACTGCTTATCCTTTTATGAAAATTAATTTTTTTAAATGTGACGAATAAAATATGTATGCATTATGTACAACTTGATGTTTTGAAACATGCATACATAATTGAATGAGTACATCAAGCTAATTAAATATGCATTACCTCACATACTTATTTTTGTGGTGAGAAAACTAAAAATCTATTCTCAGCAATTTTCAAGAACACAGTACTTTGTTATTAACTATAGTCACCATTTTGTGCAATAGATATCTTGAACTTATTCCTCCTACATAACTGAAATTTTGTATCCTTTGACCAACATCTCCCCAACTCCCAAACTCGCTAGTCCCTGGTAACAACTATTCCACCTTCTGCTTCTATGGGCTCAACATTTTTAGACTCCACATATAAGCTGGATCCTGTAGTATTGGTCTTTCTGTGCCTGACTTATTACACCGAACATAATGTCCTCCAGGTTCATCTATGTTCTCACAAATAAATAGGATTTCTTTTATTTTATGGCCAAATAGCATTCCATTGTGTATGTACACCACATTTTCCTTATCCATTCATCCACAGATGGACACTTCAGTTGATTCCAAATCTTGGCTATTATGAATAATACTGCAATGAACATGGTTGTACAGATATCTAAAAGACATACGGATTTAATTTCCTTTGGATACATACACAATAGTGGGATTGCTGAATCATTTGGTAATTCTATTTTTGATTTTTTGAGGAACCTCCCTACTGCTTTCCATAATGGATATACAAATTTACATTGCCACCAACAGTATACAGGGATCCTCTTTTCTTCACATCTTCATCGACACTTGTTATCTTTTGTCTTTTTGATAATAACCATTCTAACAAGTACGAGGTGATATCTCATTGTGGTTCTAACTTGCATTTCCCCGATGATTTGTGATATTGAGTATTTTTTCATATACCTGTTGGCCACGCATATATCTTTCTTGAGAAATGTCTTTTCAGGTCTTTTGCCCATTTTTAAAAAGCACAGTTATTTGTTTTCTTGCTATTGAGATGTTTGAGTTGCCTATGTATTTTAAATATTAACCCCTTATCAGATGTATTGTTTGAAAATATTTCCTCCGATCCCATAGGTTGTCTTTTTACTCTGCTGATTGTTTCCTATGTGGTGCAGAAAATTAGTTTGAAATAACCTAATCTGTCTAATTTTGCTTTTATTGCCAATGCTTTTGGGGTTGTATCCAGAAAATGATTTCCTAGACCAATATCATGGAGCTTTTCCCCTGTATTTTCTCTTAGTAGTTTCACAGTTATGGGTCATAAGTTTAACTCTTTAACCCATTTTGTGTTGATTTTTGCATATAGTGTGAGATAAGGGTCTAATTTCATTCTGTTAAGCATGTATATCCCATTTACCCAATACCATTTACTGAAGAAACTAAACTTTCTTCATTGTGTATTCTTAGCACCTCTGTCAAAAATCAACAGACAATAAATGCCTGGATTTAGTTCTGGGCTCTCTATTGTGTTCCACTGGTCTATGTATGTGTCTGTTTTTATGTCAGTACCATGCTATTTTCATTGCTACAGCTTTGTAGTACATTTTGATGTCAGATAGTGTGATACCTCCAGCTTTGTTCTTTACGCTCAAGATTGCTTTGGTTATTGGAGGTCCTTTGTGGTTACACACAAATTTTAGGATCATTTTCTCTATTTATGTGGAAAATGTCATTAGAATTTTCATAGGTAATGCACTGAATCTGTAGATCACCTTAGGTATTATGAATATTTTAATATTAATTCTTCCAATCCATGAACATGGGGATATCTTTCGATTCCTGTCATCTTTAAGTTCTTTCATCAATATTTTATAGTCTACTATAAAATTCTGTAAACCTCAGTGTACAACTCTTTCACCACCTTGGTTAAATTTATTCATAAGTATCTTATTGGATTATTTTCTTGATTTCAGACACTTCATTATTAGTATATAGACCACATAACTGATTTTTCTGTTGATGTTGTACTGTAACTTTATTGAATTTATTTATTAGTTATTTGGGGTTATTTTCTTTTGAGAGTCTTGCTCTGTCATCCAGGCTGGAGTGCAGTGGCACTATCACAGCTCACTGCCGCCTGAACCTCCTGGGCTCAAGTGATCCTCCCACCTCAGCCTCCTGAGTATCTGGGACCACAGGCACATGCCACCATGCCCAGCTCGTTGTTTATTTTTTTGTAGAAATGGGGGTCTTGCCATGTTGTCCAGGTCTCAAACCACTGGAGTCAAGTGATCTTCCTACTTTGGCCTCCCAAAGTGCTGAGATTACAAGCATAAGCCATCATGCCTGGCCTGAAATTTATTCATTAGTTCTAATAATTTTTTGTTGAAGTCTTTAGGGCTTTCTATATATAAGATCATGTCATCTGCAAAGAGGGACAATTTAAATTCTGTTTTCTTCAAATTTGGATGTTTTTTCCTTCTTTTTCTTGTCTAATTGCTCTGGATAGAACTTTCAGTACTGTGTTGAAAGAAGTGGTGAGAGTGGGCATCCTTGTCTTGTTTGGATCTCAGAGGAAGAGTTTTCAACTTTTCACCGCTGAATAAGATGTTAGCTGAGGGTTTGTCATATGTGACCTTTATTTTGTCGAGCTATATTGTCCTCTTTACACCCAATATGTTGAGAGATTTTAGAATAAAAGGTTGTTAGAGATTTTGTCAAATGCTTCTGCTGTGTCCATTGAGATAATCACATGTTTTTTGTCCTTTGTTCTATTAACATGATATGTTACATTTATAGATTTGCCTATATTGGACCATCAATTCATCCCACAGATAAATCTCACTTGATTATCATGAATGATCTTTCTAATATGCTGTTGAATTTGGTTTGCTAAAATTTCATAGAGTTTTTGCATTTATGCTCATGAGGATATTGCCCTATAATTGTCTTTTTTTGTAGTGTACTTTCTGAGTTTGGTATCAGGATAATGCTGGTTTTATAAAATGAGTTTGAAAGTATTCCCTTCTCTTCCATTTTTTGGAAGTGTTTGAGAATAATTAGTATTAGTTCTTTAAATGCCTCGTAAAATTCAGCAGTGAAGCCATCAGGGCCTAGGTCTTTATTTAATTAGAGCTTTTTACTACTGATTCAATTTTATTGCTTATTATTGGTTTGCTCAGATTTTCTTTTTTTTATGGTTCAGTTTTGGCAGGTTGTATATGTCCAGAAATTTATCCACTTCTAGGTTGTCCAATTTGTTGATGTATACTTATTCATAGTAGTCTGTTAAGATCCTTTGTATTTCTGTAATATTGGTTGTAATGTTGCCTCTTTCATTTCTGATTTTGAGACTTCTTTTTTCTTAAAGATTTGTCTATTTTGTTTATATGTTATATTTTTATATATATTTATATATTTTTAAAAACCTGACTTTTAGTTTTATGGATTTTTTAATTGTTTTTCTAGTCTGTATTTTATTTGTTTCTGCTCTGATCTTTATTATTTCTTTCCTTCTTTAACTTTGAGCTTAGTTTGTTCTTGTTATTCTAGTTCCTTGGGGTGTAATGTTTGGTTGTTTATTTGATATCTTTCTTCCTTGCTGATGTAGGCCATTATTGCTATAAACTTAGAATTGCTTTTGCTGTATCCCATGTGTCTTGATATGGCATGGGTCAATTTTTGTTTGTCTAAAGACATTTTAAAATTTCCCTTTAAATTTCTTCTTTGACCCACTGGTTGTTCAGGAGCATGTTGTTTCATTTCCATGTATTTCTGAATTTTTTTTCTTTTTTTTTTTTTTTTTTGAGACAGTCTCGCTCTGTCACCAGGCTGCAGTGCAGTGGCATGAGCTTGGCTCACTGCAATCTCTACCTCCTGGGCTCAAGCAATTCCCCTACCTCAGCCTCCCAAGTAGCTGGGACTGCAGGCGTGCACCACGCCCAGCTGATTTTTGTATTTTAGAAGAGATGGGGTTTCATCATGTTGTCCAGAATGGTCTCGATCTCCTGATCTCGTGATCTGCCCACCTTGGCCTCCCAAAGTGCTGGGATTACAGGCGTGAGCCACCACGCCCAGCCAAATTTTCCGAAATTCCTTCAGTTACTGATTTCTAGAATCATACCATTGTGGTCAGAAAGTATAACTGATACGATTTCAATCTCCTTAAATTTATTAAGACTTGTTTTGTGGCCTAACATATGATCTATCCTGGAGAATGTTCTCTGTGTGCTTTTGAAAAAGGTGTCTTCTGCTGCTGTTGGATGCAATGTTCAGTTTATGTCTGGTAGGTCCATTTGGTCTAACACATAGTTTAAGTCTAATTTTTCCTTACTGATTTTCTGTCTGGATGAGCTGTCTATTGCTGAAAATAGGATATAGAATTTCCCTCCTATTAAGTCCCCCTCCCTTCAGATCTGTTAGTATTTGCCTTATATATTCAGATATTCCATCATTTGGTGCACACATATTTACAAGTGTTACATTCTCTGGGTTAACTTATCCCGTTATCCTTCTTCTTTTTTTTTTTTTTTTTTTTTTTTTGAGACGGAGTCTTGCTCTGTGGCCCAGGCTGGAGTGCAGTGGTGCAATCTCAGCTCACTGCAACCTCCACCTCCTGGGTTCAAGTGATTCTCTTGACCCAGCCTCCTGAGTAGCTGGGATTACAGGTGTGTGCCACCATGCCCGACTAATTGTTTTGTATTTTTTTAGTAGAGATGGGGTTTCACCACGTTGGTCAGGCTGGTCTTGAACTCCTGACCTCATGATCCACCCACCTCGGCCTCTCAAAGTGCTGGGATTACAGGTGTGAGCCACTGCGCCCAGCCCCCTTTAGCATTACATACTGACTTTGTCTCTTGTGGCAGTTTTGGACTTAAAATCTATTTTATCTGGTATAAGTACAGCTACTTCTGCTCTTTATTGGTTTCCTTTGCATGGAGTATCTTTTTTCCATCCCTTTGCTTTCAGTCTGTGTGTGTCCTTATAAGTGAAGTGAGTTCCCTGTGTGTAGCACAGAGCTGGGTCTGGTTTTTATAATCCATTAAGTCACACTATGTCTTCTGATTGAATAGTTTAATTTATTTACATTTAAGGTAATTGTTGCCAGGTAAAAATTGACTACAGTCATTTAGTTCATTCTTCTCTGGCTTTGTTTCCTGACTATAGCCCTTTAGTTCATTCTTTCTAGCTTTGTTTTCCTTTGTTCCTTCCTTCTCTTTCCGTCTTCCTTTGTGATTAGGCAATTTTCTATAGTGGCATGCTTTAATTCCTTACTTTGTATTTTCTGTATATCTAGTACAGGTTTTTGCTTTGTGGTTACCAGGAGGCTGACATAAAATATCTTAGGGTTGCAGCAAGTTTTTTTAACTTGAATACAACTTAACCATGATCACACACAAAAATTCAACATTTTTACCCACCCACACTTTGTTTTTGATGCTTTTTATATTGTGTAACCCTTAATGAATTATTGCAGCTTTAACTATTTTTAATAGTTTGTTTTAACCACTGTAATAAATGTTACTTAAACACTACCACCACAGTTTTAAAATTTGACTTACTTTTGTACTTACTTTTGACTTAAACTTTTTGTACTTACTTTTACTAGTGAGTTTCAAACTTTCTTATATTTTTGTGTTACTAATTAACATCCTTTTCTTTCAGCCTGAAGAACTTCCTTTAGCATTTCTTGTAAGACACTTCTGAGAGTAATGAACTCTTGACTTTGTGTGTGTGTGTCTCTGCAAAAGTCCTTTTCTCTTTTCCTTCTGTAGAAGAGCTTTGCTGTGTATTCTTGGTTGACAGTTTTTGTTATGTTTTGTTTTTTTCCTTTCAGCACTGGAATACATCATCCCGCTCTCCCCTGGCCTGTAAGGTTTCTGCTGTGATGTCTGCTTCTAGTATTAATGGAATTCCCTTATATGTGACATGCTTCTTTTGTCTTGATGCTCTTTTGCTGCAGAATACTCTTTTTGTCCTTGAATTTTCAAAGTTTGATAATAATATGTCTTGGTGTAGTCTTGCTTGGATTGAATCTGATTAGACACCTTTGACCTTCCTGTGTATGAAAATGTAAATTTTCCCCCAGATTGATAAAACATTTTCTGCCTGCCTTCCTGACTGCCTTTTTTTCCTTCCTGTCTTACTTTCTTCTTTGCTCCCTCCCTCCTTCCTTGTTTCTGCTACTGTTTCCTCTCTCTCTCTATCCCTCTATCTCTTTCTTTACAATAAAAACTTGCTCTATTAGCCAGGCTGGAGTGCAATAGCATGATCATAGCTCACTGCAACCTCAAACTCCTGGGCTCAAGCGACTCTCCCACCTCGGCCTCCCAAAGCGCTGACATTATAGGTATGAGCCACGACACCCAGCCTATTGTTTCTTTAACTAAACTTTCTAGAACTTTGTCCCTCTATTCTCCTTTTTCAGTGTCCATACTTTTAAGTTTTGTTCTTTTGATGCTTTCCTGTAAGTTCCATAAGCATTCTTCATTACTTTATATTCTTTTTTCTCCAATTGTATAATTTCACTAAACTGTCTTTGAGTTCAGAGCCTTTCTTCTGCTTCATTGATTCTGCTGTTGACATTCTCTATTGCAATTTTCATTTCATTCATGCATTTCTCAGCTCCAGAATTTGTTAGTTTTTTTGTATAATTTCAATCTTTAATTTTCTCATTTTATTCATTTAATGACTTACTAATTTTTGAATTATTTTTCCTTTTTTAGATAAACAGAAATTTACTTGTAACAGTTCTGGAGACTGGGATGCTGAAGATCAAGGTGGTGGCATCTGTGAAGGCCTTCTTGCTGTATCATAACAAGGCAGAAGGCATCACATGGGTGAGAGAGAGACAAAAGTAGGGTCCTTTTATAAGAAACCCACTCCCTCATAACATAAATTTTGAGGGACACATTCAAACCAGAGCAGTCCCAGTTCCAGATCTCTAGTTTTTTCCAACATTTATTTTAGATTCAGGAGGTACATACGCAGGTTTGTTACCTAGGTATATTGTGTAATGCTGAGGTTTGGGGTATGAATGATCCCTTCACCCAGGTACTAACTAAACAGTTAGTTTTTCAACCACTGTCCCACTCCCTCCTTTTCCCCTCCAGTAGTCTCTAGTGTCTATTGTTGCCATCCTTATATCCATGAGTTATCAATGTTTGGCTTCTACGTACAAGTGCAAACATGCAGTATTTGATTTTCTGTTCCTGTGTTAATTCACTTGGGATAATGGCCTCCAACTGCGTCCATGGTGCTACAAAGGACATGATTTCATTACTTTTTATGGCTGCATAGTATTCCATGGTGTGTATGTATGTGTATATATATATATATATATATATATATATATATATATATACACCATATTTTCTTTATTCAATCCACTACTGATAAGCACCAAGGTTGATTCCATGTCTTTGCTATTGTGAATACTGCCATGATGAACACACAAGTGCATGTGTCTTTTTGGTAGAATGATTAGATTTCTTTTGGATATCTACCCAGTAATGGGATTGCTAGGTTGAATGGTAGTTCTCTTTTAAGTTCTTTGAGAAATCTCCAAATTTTTTTCCACAGTTGCTGAACTAATTTACATTCCCACCAACAGTATGTAAGTGTTCCCTTTTCTCCACAGCCTCACCAGCATTTGTTGTTTTTTGACTTTTTAGTAATAGCCATTCTGACTGGTATGAGATGGTATCTTACTGTGGTTTTAATTTGCATTTCTCTGATGATAAGTGATGTGGAACACTTTTTCATATGTTTATTGGCCATGTTTATGCCTTCTTTTGAGAAATGTTTGTTCATATATTTTGTACATTTTTAAGTGGGGTTGTTTGCTTTTTGCTTGCCTAATTGCTTAAGTTCCTCATAAATTTTGAATATTAAACCTTTGTTGGATGCATAGTTTGCAAATATTTTCTCCCTTTCTGTACGTTGTCTGTTTACTTTGTTGATAGTTTCTTTTGCTGTGCAGAAGCTCTTTAGTCTAACTGGATCCCACTTGTCAATTTTTGTTTTTGTTGCAATTGCTTTTAGGACTTATAAATCCTTTCCCAAGGCCAATGTCCAGAATGGTGTTCCATAGGTTTTCTTCTAGGATTCTTACAGTTTGAGGTCTTACATTTAAATATTTGATCCACCTTGAGTTCAGTTTCATATATGGTAAAATGTAGGGTTCTAGCTTCATTCTTCTGCATATGGCTCACCAGTGATCTTAACACTATTTATTGAATAGATAGTCCTTTCCCCATTGCTTATGTTTGTTGACTTTGTCAAAGATTAGATGGCTGTAGGTATGCAGCTTTATTTCTGGGTTCTCTATTCTGTTCCATTGTTCTATGTGCCTGTTTTAATACCAGTACCAGACTGTTGAGGTTACTGTAACCTTTTAGTTTGAAGTTGGGTAATGTGATACCTCTGGCTTTGTTCTTTTTGCTTTGGATTGCTTTGGCTATTTTGAATTATTTTTCTATTTTCTTTAAGTTCACTTAGCTCTTTTGGTGGTATTTTCAGATGTCAACAGTGGTTCAAATTGATGATTCTGCAGACGAATGTCCTATTTCACCATCTTGCTGGCATCTGTACACTTGCCTTGTTTATTCTTGAATGAACATTCTTCAAAGTAAAATTTTGAATTACATCATTTTATTATGGGTTAAATTAGAGAGGATTAATATCTTTACATTACTGAGTCTTCATATCCATAAATGAGAATTTACGCAGATCTCTTTATATACCTCATAGTAATGTTTTAACCTTTTCTTTTCCCATGTAGCTTGTACATTTCTTACCCCTCTCCTGCCTGCCAGTGGTATTTTATGCCTTCTAAATCTATTATAAACAGTATTTGCTTCTTTTCATTTTAACTGATAACTTATACAAAGGGAGGTATTTCTGATTATTAAATTAATTTCCAAAAAAAAGTATTAAAAACTGTGAGCCGTTGAATCTTTTTTTTTTTTTTTTTTTTTTTTTTGAGACAGAGTTTCACTCTTGTTGCCCAGGCTAGAGAGCAGTGGCATGATCTCGGCTCACCACAACCTCTGCCTCCCGGGTTCAAGTGATTCTCCTGACTCAGCCTTCCGAGTAGCTGGGATTACAGGCGCCCGCCACCACGTCTGGCTAATTTTTTTGTATTTTTAGTAGAGATGGGGTTTCAGCATGTTGGCCAGGCTGGTCTCGAACTCCTGACATCAAGGTGATCAACCTCCCAAAGTGCTGGGATTACAGGCATGAGGCACCACGCCGGCCTAGGTGATTTTCTTATGTGCGTTTTCAAGGATCAAATAATAATAATTTTTACTTGGTTCCTATTTTTTATGCCTCTTGTTTAGTCTCTTCTCTAATTGAAATACTCTTTGTATCATAGGAAAATAAGGATAGACCCTAGTGAGAAGGGCCTAAAATTCTTTTTCAGGGTTACAGGAATGAAGGAATAAATAAATCTTTATTGCCACAAAATAAAGGAAACTCTAAACTCAGCCTCTCTGAGACCAAATTATAAAAAAAGTCATACATAGAATTTGAGAATATGATAGCACCATTAAGAGGGAAAGAGGAAAAGAGATTATGAGGTGTTGCATTGATAATATACTGTGACGTATAAGTATTAAAACATTTTTGTATCTCTGAATAGAAATTTTAGTCAGGCCTCTCTCCTTGAACTCCTAAGACGGAGTCAAACAAAATTTTCTATTTGCTTTCCCTACTAGTTATTTTTATTTTGCCTTCTAGAAACTCATCAATTTGAAGAAATATAGTCAATATGAGTCATTTTATAGGCATCCTTATATATGTATAAATTTAAATTTTACAGTGTTTGATACACATATTCATGTTCTATTACATGTATCTATATAGATACAGTCTTGTTTATGAAAATTGACATAGTATGCTATAAGTGAACAAAACTATATGAAAGAATAACAGACCATACTGCTTGATAGAAAAAGTTTTAAATAATAGAAAAGTGCTGCAACAGAGATAAGAAGAAAAAATATAACAACAAAGGTCTTATGGGAGCTTATTATCTGCCAAGCACAGAGTTAAGCTCATTAAGTGGATAATCTTATTTTTCCTCACACAATTATGCTCATTTTATAAATGAGAAAGCTAGAACTTTGAGAAGTTAAATCACCCAACTTTACATAGTTTATAACTGATTCTTGTTCTCAAAGGCAACTCTGCGTGACTGTGAAGCCCCAGCACAGGCTCCCATAAAAAGGGCATTTCCATTTACTGTAATATTTAAAAATCCACAAAAACTGATTTTTCAAAAGCCTACAGTTAAAAGAAAGTTGCTCAAATATTACCTAAAATAGAATAATCCGTTAAAAAAATTGATCACAATGAAAGAGGAAAAAAAAGCAGCTCACAGGAATTTTCTACAGAGGCATACAAAGATACACTCTCTAAACAAGAAAACCATTATCTAGTGAATGTTCATCAGAAACTAGAATATTCACTTTTGTTTAAGTAAAACTTTCACTAATTATATAGAGGGTTATACTTCCTATTGAGATAATTTATCACTATAGCCAAAGTTTCAGTGTAGAAAAACACCCCTGCTCATCAGTGTCTGGGATAGAAGTAAAACAGAGGATACTGCTTGAAACAAAACTGCTTAGACCAGCACACTTCTCTGATTTGTCAATGTCACTGATTTAAAAATGAAAGTTAATACCTTTTAAGATATCTGTACAATTCTAGGGCAGCTGTTTCAGAAGGTCAAATGACTCACAGCCAATGGGGAACTAGAGAGATATCTGAGGATTTGGCTGGTAAACCAGACTTTCACTGACAGGGTCCCCTTTGGGGCTGTGGTAGAGGTTCTCTTAAAAGACAGAGCAGCTTAAAGAAATCACTGAGGATTTTCACTATTACAACAACAAAATGATACTGAAGTGCTATATTGATTTTAAATTTGACAAAACGACAGAATCCCTGACAAAACAGAACCATTACTGTGGAATAAATCAGTTAGATTCTGGATCAGCCCCATTATTATTCATATCATCACAAGTGCTTTCTAAGATGTTGTCACCAGATTAGGGCACAAAGTGGGGAAGAGAGCTGGAAGGGCTTCTCCTTAAAGAGTATGGTTATTGTACTTCACTTCCATGCTTAATCATTTGATAACACTCACCCACAGTTGCTATTTTGGATACTCTATAAAATTCCCAGGCAGTTACCCATTTAATCTAACATAAATATGTGTTAAAATCTTTTCTGCTATTTCTCAAGGTCACGTGTTTGCCCATGGAACTTAGAGTACTGGCATCTCACTCAGTCACCGCAACAATGGCTTAAATCCTTCTTGACAGGTGGTACCTCTGTGTTCCTAGTGGCATCATACCACAGAAGGCTTCTCCCTCACACTAATGGGACTGAATCAATAACATCAGACTAAAAACATTAACCTTAGGAGTCTTATTATTCTGAAAAATATAATAAAACCTTCAGAATAAAGGTTTTATTATTAAAACTCAGACCCAATTAAAATTTTACAAATGAGAAAGTTAGAACTTTGAGAAGTTAGATTACCCAACTTTACATAGTTTATAACTGATTCTTGTTCTCAAAGGC
Source organism: Homo sapiens (assembly GCF_000001405.40). Classification (NCBI taxonomy): domain Eukaryota; kingdom Metazoa; phylum Chordata; class Mammalia; order Primates; family Hominidae; genus Homo; species Homo sapiens. The sequence goes on along the minus strand of NW_025791789.1, from coordinate 105,920 downwards.
AACTCTGTGTGACTGTGAAGCCCCAGCACAGGCTCCCATAAAAAGGGCGTTTCCATTTACTACAATATTTAAGAATCCACAAAAAATGGTTTTTTTCAAAACCCTACAGTTAGAAGCAAGTTGCTCAAATATTACCAAATATTACCAATATTACCAATAATCAGACCCAATTAAAATCAGAGAGAAAAAAAGTAACACAAGGCTGTGTAGCTCATGCACTACTAATATAGCCCATTGACTATTTAACTCATAGGATGCCTTTTAAAATAGTTTTTATTGTGGTAAAATATATATCCCATAAAATCTACCATTTTAACCATTTTAAGTGTACAGTTCAGTGGCATTAAATATATTCACATTGTTGTTCAACCACCACCTGCATCCAGCCCCTGAACTCATTTCATCCTACAGCTGAAACTCAAATCTTCTGAATAATTTGTGAAGTTGGCAACACACCATGCTGACCCTTAATTTGTGAAGAAGGCCCACAAGTATTAGAAAGATCCATTTGTAGAGGTGTCACTTGATGTGACATTCCTTGCTAGCACAGATCCATCTCAAACAAACTTCTAAAGCTTGGGCTACTCTGCTCAACTCTAAATCCACATGAAGAAATGTCTCCTATTCAATTGGCACCACATCCTAGCAGGATTTTGTGTTCTTTTTTCTCTACACTTTGCTTTTCAGATGGATTTTATATCTATACATCTTTATCTATATTATGTGTATACATATATACATATATTTTGCTTTGCAGGAGGATCATTTATGTGTGTGTATGTGTATATATATATATATATATATGAGAATGTTTCATAAGGACAAATACACCACTAAGTCTCTCATTCCTTTGCTATTGTAGAAATGGAGTTAGGAAACAAGGTGAAAAAGAGCCCTTTCACAGCCAGAGACTGTTTCTTTACCTTCTTGGAAACTGTAACCCTTACAGGAATTGTGCAAGAATTAAATGTGGGAGTGCTGGAAACCCAGAGCACACAGCCTTATGCACAAAGAGCTCTTCATAAATGGTAGATGGCATTAGCTTCAAGTTTAGAAACAATGTTTTCTTTTTGCTTCCTAGCCAGGAAAAGCCCTTTTGCTTCAAGCGACTAAAGAATGTTCTCTAACTTCCTGAGTGTTGTGTGTGTGTACTTGCCTCTGCTAATGTTTAGTTTGCCTTACAAGGACAATCTGCCTGACTTCGTGTTGGATAAAGGGAAGCTGTACATGAAGATGGAGAGATACAGAAGGAAACAAGCCATGATTTCAGTAACCCAGTGGCCATGACAGCCAGAGGCAGAATGAAGGCCGACTGAAACTAGATATCCGCTGACCACCTCTGGACCCACAGGTGCAGCTGTTTGGAATGACACCACACCTGGCAGCAGGGCTGACGTGTCCTGCAGACCTGCTCTTCCTCTGACTCACTGTGTCGCTGCCCACCACTGGCTCACGGCTTGGTAGCTACCCAGCCACACCCTCAGCCTCCCTTTTCCCTACTGTCGACCAACTGTGTGTCTGGCATGTAACACACACTCAGACTGAGAATGTTTCTGTCTCTGTGCTAACTGCAGTGTCTGCCATCCTTTCCTGCTCTCTCATAGCAGGTACCGAGTCAGTCCAGACAGCTGCTGCCTCTGGGCTCAGTGCTGATGGGCAGATCTCCAACCTCTGACCTTCCTTCTGCCTCCTCCATTAGTTCCACTCACATTTGCTCCAGTCAGGCCCGGAAAATAAAGATAACAATTAGGAACAAATACACACAGGCCATGGGAGATCTACTAATGCACTTTGTCCACTGCCCCAAAAACGTCCCATGACAGCTGGTGGACACTTTTTTAGATTTCCCAGTTAGAGCGGTTCTACATTTTGGATCTCAAAAATTCTCAACACTGATAAAGACCAGTGAAACAAGAATTCAGTTATAGCAAATTGTATGTTCTTTGTCAGAAAGTTTTAAAAAACAAAGTCCAATAATATTATTCAGAGAACATTTTCTTTCTTTGCATAAAATCTTCCTAGTGAATAGAGACAGACAGGGAAAAAACAAAATTCCATACATGGGAACAAGAAATAACGACTTCCATAAGGAAACACAAAACCAGGGAAGACACAGGCTGGAGGCGGGTGGGGTGGGGAGGGCAGTGGGAGCTGTGTGCGTGCGTGTCTGCGTGTGTGTGTTCTGTGCACATTAGGGGTTAGGTTATCTAGAAGAATTCTATCAGGAAGAGATAATTTACCCAAGAAACGAATTGAGGAAGCTATCTATGCTATAGGGGAAAATTTCAGAGATACTGAATAGCTAGTACAAAGATGGATCTTGCTTGACATTTTTAAAGAGCAGCTAGAAGAACAACATAGCACAAAATATTTGAAGCCACAGATAAGCAGAGAATACGGTCGAAGTTGCTTATTTCTTTTTATCTAAATAAGGTCAGTTCTTTATTGAAAATGACTACATTCATATGGTGCATAAAATATGTGGCAATTTACAGCAAGAATTAAAGAAAATAAAATTCTATAGATTTAAATTGGAAGCCAGTTGCAAAGGCAGAAGCAAGATGGGATGTGAAGCTGTGACAATGGTCCAGGTAAGAGATGGTGGGCAACTGGGCTGTCATGGTAATAACAGAGGTGAGGGAAAGTTGTCAGACTCCACATATACTCTGAAGCTGTGACTGACATGATCTGTCTAACGACTGAGTTGACAGGATATGCCTATGGATTGATCGTGGAGTGTGAAGGAATGGAAGTCATTGGTAACTCCACGCATATTGGCTCAAGCCAACAACTGGTAAATGCTGTGATATTTACTGAGAGGTGGAAGCCCAGGGGCAATAGGGTTTGGTGATGGGAAGGATATGGAGATAATAAACTTAGTTTTGGACGTGACTATTTGACATCCGAAAGGAAATGGAGTCTGGTGCTCAGAGGGGAACTTGAAACCTATGTCAGGGATGGATAATATCCTGAATATATCTAATTCCAACCAGAAGAAAATTTCACAATGAATTAAAAAGTTCTATATTTCCTTGCAGATTTAATTCTTTATTCTTTCAGAAATAAGTGAAAAATAGACATGAGGGAAAATGGCTTGTCAGTGATTGCTAATCTGGGACTATGGTTAATAGAATGTTATGGTATAATCTCTCAGCATGATTCCAGGACATGGTTAGGTGGATTTCTAAATATCTTTTCTCTCTTTCTGATTCAGAACATTTGTTCTTATTAGGCCATGTGGCTTTTTAAGGCCATTCCTATTACTACTACTATATATATGTATATATATATATATACACACACACATGATTATCCCAGAAAATTATCTTTTATCTTCCCTCTTCTGTTGTTTATTCTTTTGACCTTGTTTGAGTAATGGCACCTTTTAAAATGATGTAGCAGATGAGGAGATTATTCACCTCAAGTGAGTCTGTGTCCTGAAACACATTTTGTTAACTGAAAGTATAATACATAATGAAGCTTGTTCTGTTACTCAGAAAAGATTCATGTATTCCTGTTGTAAGTAACAGGGATTCTCTCTTTTCAACGGAGCTTTTACTACTCTGAAGATTCCATAAATCTGGCAGTTACATCTAGTTTTCTTGGGTATTTCTCAACACAAACTCAGTCTAGCCCTTGAAGCGTCAATGTGAAGCATGTAATTAGTAAGAATGTGGATTGATATATTAATCCATTCAGATAATCAAATGTCAGTGATTGATATGACAGCTGTACAATCTCTTATCTAAAGCCTTGGTATCAGATTTGCTTTAGATTCAGATTCATTTCATATATTAGAAAGGTCATACTGTGTATACACCAAATATGAGTGACTAGGTGGTAATCACATATGTTACTATTTTTGCAATAAAACATATGAATATTCACATTAAGCAGAGTAAGTAAAAAATGCAAATAGCCGCAAAGTCAGTACATTCAGATTTTGCTGCTAAATAAATTTGGGTCTGCTTAGGGTTCACCATTTTAAGAATTTTGCTTTTAGAATTAAAAATTGCAGATAAGCAACTGTGGATCTTTAATAATAGAAAACATTAGCATAGGTAATGGGTAAAACCAGACCAAAAAAAACAAAGCCATAAAAAGACAGAGGGAGAGCATACAAGAAATATATAAGACTGGAGAATGCATTTTTAACGTGTCCTTAACATAAAAGTAGAGGCAGCAGGATCCCTAGGAGAGAGCTGGAAATGCATTCTGTTCTCCTGGTACAGGAAGGTTAATACGATGACCCTGAGGGCAGGGGATGTAGCTGTGGTCAGGAAAAGATAATAATAATAAAGATAATAATGTGCTGGGAAAGATAATAAGCCTATAAAAACATAATTTTCATTAATCAAGAGTGTTAATATTTTAGGTATCAAAAATAAATCTTAAGTTATTTTAATATCATCCATTCATTTCTAAAATTAATGCCTTGGTAAAGGGCAGAAACTCTAATAAGAGATGTAATTTATTGTTAAGGCAGCAATGATAAGACTGGAGGACAGTCAATATCAGCCCATCTTTTTAAGAAAATGATAAATAGGAGACAGTCAGTGAAATTTATTTCTACAGAAGTAGCTTTGATAGGAAAAATACTAGACACAAGGGACATGCCTAGTGAAGAATATGATAACTATGACTCAGCTCACATTTCCCAAGAGTATATTACTAACCTCTACCATAATTATTTGCTTATTTACTAAAAGAATGGATTAATGAATAAACAAATGGAGAATATGTCCCTGAGATGTTGATGTAGCAGTTCAAGAAACACGAATCATGATGGTTACCAGTGGCAGGGAAGGGGCGTGGGGGGCTGGGGAGGAGATGGGGATAGTTATTGGGCACAAAAAAATAGTAAGAATGAATAAGACCTAGGATTTGATAGCACAACAAGGTGACTATAGTCAATAATAATTTAATTGTACATTTTAAAGTAACTAAAAGTGTATAATTGGATTGTCTGTAACACAAAGGATAAATACTTGGGATGGATATCCCATTTTATATGATGTGATTATTATGCACTGCATGCCTGTATCAAAGTATCTCATGAATCCCATAAATGTGTACACCTGCTATGCACTCACAAAAAGTAAAAGTTTTTTTAAAAAAAAGAAACTCAAATATCTACATAGGTATTTTATAATCCAAACTTGACAGCCTCTCTCTTTGCAATTTTACAACTTTCAGCAAATTCCCCATATTCTCTCCATCTCAGTCTGAACAGCCATTTCACATCTTACAGCTCACTGTTTGTTGTGTATCTCATCCATTATCCATGGTTTTGTTTGCATTACTTTTGCTTTCTGAAATATCCTCCTGAATTGTTTTCCAACAACCCACGAGGTAACGCTTTCTCCAAGGCCTGCCATTCTCAAGTCTCTTCGGGTCTGTGTCTTATAACTGAACACTCACAAGAACCATCTCTGGTTTGTTTTGTGGGTTCTCTCTTCAGTAGCATTAACATTTTTTTCACCATGCAAATTCTGTATAGTTGGTCATAGAGTAGGAAATGAAGCTATTAAATGGTTACAATTTGCCAGTCACAGTGATGGAGGATGAAGGAGATGCAAAGATAAAGCCCTATCCCCAAAAACCTTTTAGCTCAAAACGATGGAAGGCTGAGTCCTGAACCCTCATAGCACTACATTTCATTGTTTTAGTCCAAAACAAGTCCTAGAGATCTGCAGAGCCAGGAAGGACCATTTTCATTGTGGTTGTTCAAAAAAGGCATCCTGGGAGAGGATGAATTTCCCTCATTCATTCAGGAAACATTTCCTCATGTCCTAGTCCTGTTAGGCACAGTTAGGCTTTAGAGGCTGAGTTAGTTTTCCAGAACTGCTGTAACAAAGTGCCACAAACTAGGTAGCTAAAGTGATGGAGGCCATACGTCCAAGATCAGGGTGTCTGCCGGCCATGCTGCCTCCGGAGGCTCTAGGGAGGGATCTGTTCCATGCCCATCTCCTAGCTGCTGGTGCCTCCGGTGTTCTGTGGCTTGTCCATGCATTATCCCAATCCTCCCTCCTCACAGGGCTGCTTCCCTATGTGTCCTTGCACTGTGTTCCCTGTGTGTATAACTGTCTCTGGGTCCAAAGGTCCTTCTTGATGAGGACACCAGTCATATTAGATTAGGGTCAACCCTCCTGACTACACTTTAACTTGATTACCTCTGTAAAAACCTTATATCCAATTAAGGTCACATTCTGAGGTACTGGGAGTTAGGATTCCAACATATGTTTTTGGGAAACCACAAGTCAACCCAGAATAGAGATGCAGGGATGAAAGGCAGGCACAGTGACTTTGAAAGGAAGCTCACACTGTGAGCGGGCACCAGGAAAGTAAATCACTTGTTCCAGTGAAGCTCAACACGTTCCTACACGAGGTAAGATCATGAGAGTTGACATCTGTCATTTTAAGTGTTCTGGATTAGTAAGAACCTTAACCTTTACGCTCTTTCCCCGCAGGCTAGTAACCTTTCAGAGTAAGCAAAATTGGCAAATGGCATTGCCTTGGCTATGGTTTCCCTCTGAACTGCTTAACTTGATAACAAAAATGCTGACGGTACCTCTGTCATTGATGTATTTTTTTTTAGGAGGAAGAAAGAGCCAAATTACAAATACGATGCAGACTCTATATGAGTCTTCTCTTACAGCATCTCTTTTATAGGGAAACTGTCCACAACATTTTAAACATTATTAATCAATGCAGAGCAAGATTTTAAACAGATACAGGTTACTTTCAAACACTATGTAATAAATACTTATTATTATTATTATTATTATTATTATTATTATTATTGAGACAGAGTTTCTCTCTTTTTTGCCCAGGCTGGAGTGCAATGGTGCGATCTCCGCTCACTGCAATCTCTGCCTCCCGGGTTCAAGTGATTCTCCTACCTCAGCCTCCCAAGTAGCTGCAAAAGTCAAACAAAAAGTGATTACCCTGGCAAAGAGGCACTGACATATAATCAGAAACAGAAATAATGTCACTGTTATGAGGATATTTACAGATTCAGAGAATGTCACAGAGATCTGTAGTCTATGAAAAACTAAATCTGGCCAGGCGCGGTGGCTCACTCCTGTAATCCCAGCACTTTGGGAGGCCAAGATGGGTGGATGACCTGAGGTGAGGAGTTCGAGACCAGCCTGGCCAAAATGGCAAAACCCTGTCTCTACTAAAAATACAAAAAAAAAAAAAAAAAAAAAAAATTAGCCAAGTGTGGTGGCACACGCCTGTAGTCCCAGCTACTAAGGAGGCTGACGCAGAAGAATTGCTTGAACCTGGGAGGCAGAGGCTGCAGTGAGCCAAGATTGTGCCACTGCACTCTAGCCTGGGTGATAACAGCGAAACTCTGTCTCTTAAAAAAAAAAAAAAAAAAAAAAAACAAGAAAAACTAAATCTGGCTGCTTAATAAAGGACACACAATTCTTCAAGTTCAAAGTCTGTGTTCCTGTGCTTGTCATACACACAGAAACTGCTCATTTATTACATTTTGAAATTTCAGTGTCTTTCAAAAACATCAGATCAAATCAGAGAAAATAAATGAATTCAATCTACCACTCTAAAATAATGCAGAGGCAATGTTAAATTACTTTATTAAGCAAACCCAGAAAAAATAAATTATATATGATTTGTATTATTTTTTAACTTCCACACTATTTAATGGTATAATATAAGATTGTCTTTCAATGCTTTCAATGAAATAGGTATCTTACTTTCACTTAGAACATTTTTTTCTACGTAATTCTTAAAATTCTGTTTTTCTAATAGGTTTGCAGCAATAGGTAGCAATTATTATTATTAGAAACATACCCAGATGCTTTCTTCTCGGCGATACTGCTTCCAGTTTCTCCCACCATCACTGAACATCAGGAGGTAGCTGGTCACCCAGTCAGAGCTCCCATATCCTCCTTGGGTGGCGACAGCAGTGACCTCCATTCTCTCTCCAAGGTCAATTTGCAGCCATTGGTATTTATTTGACACAAGTGGAGTCCAGCCACCAGCTCCTTTATTGAAACAGAAAAAGTATAAAAATGGTAGAGGAGGAAGTTATTTAAACATAGCTGTTACTAGATTAGAAAACTATAAAATTATGAATATATATTAAGAAAATCATCGATTTACAATAGAAAAAATAGAAGAATTACATGTGACTGGATGAACCCTAAATTGTGTTCACATTTAGCTAGATGACCCCTGACATTCTAGAAGGCAGGTGTCCTACTGACTGCAGAAAATGTTTGTTTAATGCAGGTGGCCACTAGAGCATTCCTGTCAACTTTTGGAACTAGTGTTATTTCATAGCCCTTGTGCAAGATTTGCCCTTTGCCAACCTAAGAGACTAAATTCCAGTAGTAGGAAGTACAGCATTAAGCACTGATAAAACAAAGACGGTTAATATATTGACCTTGCACTCAAAGTGCTTACAGTCTCATAGGAGAAATGGATGTAAAAGAAGAGTTAAAACATAGAGTGCTTTGTGAGGCAATCCCACTTACATGTGGAATTTTAAAAAGCTGAATTCACAGAAGTACAGAGGAGAGTGATGGTTACGAGGAACTGGGGTGTGGAGGAGATATTGGTAAAAAAATACAAAAAGGTATGGAGTAGCAAATGGTCAAGGTGAGTCCTAAGCAGGTTCTGGTGCACTCTGCTCTCTCTGGCAGTACTGCAGGGAAACTGGGGCAAGTCTCACACAGTGCTCATCCACCTTGGACAAGGAAAAGGAGACTGTCGGGTATTGAAGAAGATGCGTGCAGAGCAGAAAATTTGCTTTTTGCTCTGACCAATGCCAAATCTGAAACAAAAACATAGGCATGTCCGCTGATGTTTTATTGATGTTTGTTATTTTTCTAGTCTAATAGAATTAGGGGACACTCGAAAACCACAGCTTCTTTAATAATCAATGTCTAGAAAAAGAGAGTGCTCTATAAACAATTCCCAAGCCGAGGAGTCAGAACACTTTTATTATTCCCTGGTGCTGCCACTTACCTGAAGGCTCTGATAGAAAGTCTGAAGTTCTAGACAGTTCATTATTATTCATTGACTTATACTGTGTATTTTATTATTAGGGGTTTATCATTATGTCCTCATTTGTAAAGTCTTTAGTACTTCACTACATGTCCAAAAAAGTTTGATATTATTAGAATATAGCTAGGTGTAAAAACGAATAAGTGAGGACATTATACTTTAATATAAGTTATTATGGGGAAGTGTTGAGAAATATAAATATTTATATTTAAATAATAACAATTCATACTTAAATAATAAATATAAATATTAGGCACCTATTTGAATTGATGACCACACTTAACTACTGTTTCCTTATGATTCCCAAGTTTACAGATTCTTAGAAGTCAGATTCTAAGATATTTTTGTAGTGAATCTTTGTTCAAAAATATTTTTTCCTCTGAATGTACGATAAGCACCTCTAAAGTTTATATTATATATATAGTATGTACACAGACATATATATAATTTTTGTTTGTTTTGCTTTTTATTGTTCCATGTTTTGAATTGAAGAGTCAGGAATTTGATCTAGTAGACAAGATGGAAAATTATTGGTAACCAACACTGTGCATCTGATTGACACTAAAATACTCCATTTATTTTCTTAATCCAGACAGCTAGGAGGTGGACACAGCTCTTGTTCAAAGTTAAATGTTCTGCTACAGACCAGGGGCATCCTCCACTCATGCAACATGGTTTCCTAGATCGGGCAATATTTATTCTTGGATGATTTACAGCAATATTTATGTGAGCCCCTGCCAGAGACAGTGCACAGATTTCTTTAGCCCTCAGTAGGAACTACTTCCACAGTTTCTTCTCTCTGCTCATTCCTCCTTCCAACTTAACTTTTCAGGATGTAACAGAATTCCACCTACCCACTTCCATAATCACTCAATTTAACAATGAACACTTATCGAGCATTTGAGAACTCTAGGTCAGGCAAAGAGTTCCCTTTAAATAAATTTTGCATTTAATTCCTAACATACCTTTAAAAGACAAGGCCTCATTACTACCCTCCATATATGGTGGGCAGCTCACCTATGTTTACGCATCTAGCAAGGGGCCCATGAGCTTTGGATCCAGAACCTGTGCAATTAAATATTTCTATTATATTATTTTGATGATAATCGTGGGATGTGGTGTTTCTCAAATAAATGTAACAAAGATGTAAAGACGTTTGGGAGTGAGCAGGTCTGGCTACCTAAGGCAGCAGCCCCCATACAGCAGGGCAACCTCTCCTACTCCTGGTCAGGCAAGGTCTGGGTTTCGGAAAGCTGAGGGTGCAGTGCCAATGGGTTTTTCTCTACTGGCCCTTCCTGTTGACTCCACCAGATCTACTCTTCTCTCCTAAGCCTATGTAAACTTTAATTGGTGGGAGATCCTTTTGGGGTTGGTCTAACTAGCAACCAATAGTCCTAGGTACAACACTAATGAAACTGTGTATCCTTTTCTGTTTTTCTTATTACTATTTTATGGGGGTTTTTTTTGTTGTTTTTTTTGTTTGTTTGTTTGTTTTGAGATGGAGTCTCACTCTGTCACCAGCCTGGAGTGCAGTGGCGAGATCTCTGCTCACTGCAACCTCCAACTCCCTGGTTCAAGCAATTCTCCTGCCTCAGCCACCCAAGTAGCCGGGATTACAGGTACGTGCCACCACGCCCAGCTAATTTTTGTATTTTTAGTAGAGAGGGGTTTCACCATGTTGGCCAGGATGGTCTCGGTCTCCTGACCTAGTGATTTGCCCATCTCGGCCTCCCAAAGTGCTGGGATTACAGGCACGAGCCACTGGGCCCAGCCTATTTTATGGCTGTTTTAAAAGAGTTGGGAGAAGGTGAGGGAGATGCTAACAGCCAACCCATCATCTTAGGCTGGATGTTGTACATTGGGAATTTTATACACAGAGCTGAAACTTCTGAGGAACTATTCAATATTTTTGGTTCTTCCCCTCATCTTAGTTAAGGGCATCCTCTTCAGCTTGTATTTCATAACCTTTCTTTGGTGTTTTCACTCCCTCTCATTCCAGGTTTAGAAAAGTAATTACTATGAGAACACATGTGGAGAAGCACAAGGAGGAAAATGAGTTGACACGGTTCTGGTGTGCTACCCTGGGGTGGTGTGTTTTCATCAGATGAAGAGGGAGCCGCTGGCCATCCCTCTTCTCGGCATCCCTCACAGTTTGTTAGTTTGTTGGTGTTCATGGTTGCACTCCTGGTAACAGATGACACATTTCAGTGACTTCATTTTACCTTTGATGAAGTAGTACTCAAATGCAAATAAGCTATATTTTCAGCCATTACTGATAAAGTAATGAAATTCTGGCATTACCAAAGAATTTCATCAGGATGTTGTAGCCTCAGGAAATCTGCAATCCCAGATGCGTTTTAAGGGTAAGCTGCTGTGCACACAATTTAATTAAACGCTGAGTGGAAATGGTGGGAAACACAGCGTGACTGACCTGTGCACTGCTGGATAGCACTAGTCTGTGTGCCTTTGTTAAAGGCAGCTTTGATGGTTGGTATAGAAGGCCACTATGGGTAACAGAAAGAGAAAGGAGGTTGGCTGACTCCACCCCCAACTAGAGTGTAGTAATTGTCCAGTCACTCAGCCTCTCTGAGACAAAAATGTTGTCCTTTGTTTAAAAAAGAAAAGCATAAAGTTGGGAGTGGGGGGATTAACAGTCATATAAATCACGTCACAAGACTGTAAGGAAGACAATGGGATAACTGAAACTACAGCACTTTGTAACTAAATTATTATTCAAATGTGATGTTATACTCAATTTTTGTTGTCTTTAAATTAAAACAAATGAAAGTCTTCTATTTGTTAAGTCAAGATTATACATGTGCTGACTACTTTTCAACCTGGAAGTGTCTTTTCATAGTCCCTTCTAGTCTATGGTCAACAAAACTTTGTACACAAAACAGGGGAAGCAGTTATGTCCTCTAAGCTCAGCCTCTCCCCCATAACAAATGTTTCTTCTCCACTTCACCCTCCTCCCCCTGCCTCTGACAAGACATTGCACCTGAGTTAAATAAAGTGTCACAATTCTACCCCACAGATCCTATGAATTATGAAAACTCATCCCCTCCATTCATAATATATGTTCTGACACACATGTTCCATTACTGGAATGAGATTAAAATATGCTGAGCAACTGAAACTTTCTCTTACACTTTATATGGCTTGAGGAACAGCAGATGTTATTTTTTAAAGGGTAATTCGTTTTTATAAAGGTTGATATTGGTACCACAGTGAAGATGCTGAGCTGCGCTAACTGTTTTGTCCCTAAATGTTCACACAACATAGGATTTATCTTATGAACCGTTTTATCCACTTTTAAGTTTTCAAGTTCTGAGGAAATTATTAAAGTTTTGCCACTTATTTTGTAATGGAAAACAAGGGAAAAGGGGGAAGTGAGAAACTCTGAAGCATATATTGTATGCTGAGAATTCGACCAGATATTTTCAAGCATATTATCATTTTTTATTTCTAAAAGCATTCAGTGGGTTGTCTTTATCGTATCTACCTTACAGATGAGAAAATAAAATCACTAATTAAAACACATGGAAAGATATTATTTTTAAAATCAGCTTATGTTTCATTTTTATCCCTGTCCATGAATATATTCACATGATTTGTCAATCACTTAGTACTTTTTGGTTATGAATAATCTGGCATGATTATGTCTCTATTTTGTACAGTTATATCTGTTTGTTATAATTCTGCACTTACATCAGGTCAAAGTTACATTTCACTATCTGGGGCAGGGGGCTCTGTGAAAGAAAAGTAGAAACCCTACAGCTGGAGCCTTAATTATTTCTGACTAACAACAATAAAACTTCCCATGACTATAGTATCTAGTCATAAGTGACAGCACTGTCACAGAGTATGTATTGACTTTGTTTACAGGGGAAATAATGCACAGGTAAATCATCATCATCATCATTACAATTATCATCATATCACCATAATCTTATACCTTCCTTAACTAAATTTGATGTTGAGGGCACAAAATATAAGTAAACAAAGTAAATGTTCAAAGCCAGCCACTATTAGGGACTTCTGTATACCAAGCAAACACACAGTTAAGTCAACCTTGTCCCCACGAGACACTTCCCACTAAGATAACAAATTGTTTCAAATGTGATTTTATCCAGATATATTTGTTTCTTTCCTCATCTAATTGCATTTTAATTCACATTAAAAATTTCAGGTATTCCCTGGGGTGAGCAGGAGGTGGGAAGTGAGATGTGAGGTAGGGACTGTCACAGCTCCTACACTCCAGTGTGATTATATGTAATTTATAGGGAAGAGGAGTGAAGCTGGCTTTAAATCAACTCCCTCATTCCACTTCTGAGATTTATAGGCTTTAAACAGCCATGCTTTTTGTCAGTAGGTCTGCCTTTTTGCTGAGGGTAATTTAAACATTTACCTGAGATCTAATTTCATTTAGAAAAAAAAGGGCTAACTACACAGATATAGAATCAGGTACTACAGTCTTTTTCAACTATGCTGTTTTAAAGTAAAAAATACAGAAACCCTCCCTCAGAATCTGTCTTTGTGTACATGTTCTATTTCAGCAGTAATTCCTTCAATCTTAGCAGGTTGAAGCAGAAAGAATATTCAGCCTACTAAAAATGTGTTCATAAAAAAAGTACTGCAATTATGGTTAAAATCTCAGAGTGTATATAACAATTTATAAAATGTATTCTCTTACAAAATGCATCTACACTCCCTAGTAGCTTTGAAAATGGACAAAGAATAAACAAAAAACAAATAGTAGATGTTAGACTTAAAATTAATCATATAATCATATTAAAGGCAAGTAGTACAAACACTCCTATTAAATGGCAATGATGGTCAGATTAGATGAGAAAGCAAGATCCAACTATATGTTGCCTACAAGAAACACACTTTAAATAAAAAAGGCTCAAATAGCCTAAGTGTAAACACATGGAAAAATATATATTATGCCAATAATAGTTTTTTAAAAAGCTGGATTGGCTATATTAAAGTAGATTTCAGTGCAAAAATTATTATAAAAGGTAAAGAAAATTATTTCGTAATGATTAAGATGTTCTTTCATCATAGGACATAATCCTAAACATGCAAACACTTAATAACAGAGCTTCAAAATACATGAAATGAAACCTAGTAAAACTGAATGAAATAGATAAATCCACAATGACAGTAGGAGATTCTAGCACCCCGTCTCGGTAACTGATTGCACAAGAAGACAGAAAATAGGGATTCAGAAGTATTAATTATCACTATCAACCTATATGATTCATTGATATTTATGGAATGTTTCACCTAACAGAAGAACATGTATTCTTTTTCAAGTTCATTTGGAACTTTTACCAAAATAGACCATTAAACGAGTCATTAAACAAGTTTCAACAAAGTTAAAATCATTTAAGTCATGTAAAGTATATCTTTGTGATATACAATAGATTAAAATAAGAAATCAACAATAGCAACTTCTCTGAAAAATCCAGGAATATTAGGAAACTAATAACACATACTTCATAATCAATGAATCAAAGAAGAAACTAAAAGGGAAATTAGCAAGTATTTCAAGCTGAATGAAAATGAAAATACAACTTATCAAAATCTATGGGCTGGAACTTCTGGCTTCTGCCCCAGGAAGTAGAAAGCTATAAGGAGCCTCATTTCCACCCTTACAACCAACTTCAAGTTCATGATCTTTTACAAATGCATTGGAGAGTTGAGCTTGCAGAACCACCACCTAGCCTAAAATCTAAAGAGATATGAACCTCACAGGGAGAGATGTGAGCAGGATCTCACCTTACATAGATGAAACCAGAGGTCAGTAAGAAAAGTTCAGCTGGAATAGTTAACAAAATGGTGAAACCTACTGTGCAGGCTGGTGGGACAGTGAGAAATCCTTTATCACCCCAGAAGTTGGGGGAGTGTTCCCTCTTGCAGGCACTTGCTCCACTGGCCATTGGCAGAAACTCACATGCACTCCACTGAGAACTCTATTTGGCCCTCACAGAAAACATCAGAAAGAGCCCTAAAGGTTAAATGACTCAGCCTATAACCTCCGTTATCTCCACCACATCTTGATTTTTGGGTAGGTGTAGTTCCATTCATCTTGGTAACTAACTGCATAATTCAATAAAACCATCATTGTGCATTTTTTCATACATCCAATAAATTATCTGATGAGACATATAATCTCAAATTATCACTTGAGCAGGCAAAGAAGCCATTATCTTCACTTGGTGAGTAGAAACAATTAGGCAAAAGTGATGGGTGATGTGCAAACGGGGCATATGAGGAGAGGGCTGGAATGGAGTCAGGGCACCCTGAGGCTGACTGCACGCCTCTCATTGTGTTCCATTTCCCACAGATAGTGTGTTTACTTTCTTCAGGGAGTGATTAAACACGTGTATTTGTCTTTCTTATTAAATGACAATTGATATCATGCAAGGAAACACGAGAGTGAAATGCTGAGAAGTGAATATTTTAGTGAATACCAAATTATCCATCTGTATGTGATTGATTGCTCAGTCAACCAAAATCCCCTAGCCCACCCCCTAAAAAAAAAAGAGATGGTAATATTTACATTTTTCCTAAGGATATTATGTAGTTAAACTAATTATAGTTTATGAAATTGCTGTGAAAGCCTCGTATGAAAAGAGACATGCATTTGTTATTGCATGTAATAGGACACTATCAAAATATGATGCAAAAGGAATGTCCTCTAAACATTACAATAATGTTTATTTTAAGTTGCTATTAACAGAGAAATTTTTTTAGAGGCAAGCACACATCGGGTACAATGTGGGGCGTCAGAATTCTGCTAAAGTTTGTCCCACTGAATTCTTTGGAAAAAATATGACAACCTAAAAAAATCCAGTTGGCAAAAATTAATGTGAAAGAAAATAGGTGAATCTGCACCATGTCCTACAGAAGTTCTGGAATGCCTCCGTTAACACTGACTTTAATAACTAATGTAGGAGAGTTGGTTATAGGACCAACTGTTGTAATTTACCATTTTCATCATTGGTCATAGTCCTTTTGAATCCGTTTTGAAGCACAAATTAAACTGCCAGTCAGAAATTAAATGTTATTTAAGAAAAAAATTATTTTGAAATATAGCTTCACATCAATTGGCAAAGATAGTACAGAGAAGTGATGTGTACTCTTCACCTAGTTTCTACCAATGGTTACATCTTATAAAATTACAGTACAATATCAAAACCAGGAAACGATGTGTCTATGTAGTTGTATGACACGTTTAGGGTCCGTAACCCCCACCACAATCAAGAAAGAGAACGACTTCACTACCACAACAATCCTCCTCATTGGTACCCTTTACAGTTATACATAGCAACCACTAATTTGTTTTCTATCTCTATAATTTCCTCAATTCCTCAGGTTCCTAGATGGTCTGTCTTCCCTACAATTTTTCATTCTTATGTTTATTTTATATATAAAGTGCCTTTTAAAATGTACTTATCAGGAAGAATATATTAAAGACATGTACTTCATCTCTCCGGAGCAGAAGCTGGCAATATGATGGTGAATACAGTGTCCCTTTATTCTTGAGTGATTCCAGTTGCCTCTGGTAAATAGGAAGTTTCCTATTCAACCTCACCTTTCTTGCCAAGAACTGCATGACAGTTGAGCTGTCACATGTTATCACTGGATTTTTTTGAACAGGAAAAAAGTGAAAGGACAACATTTTTAGAAGGAAGAATGCAAACTGTAAGAGAGCGATGCGAAAATCCTAGAGAGGAGTGGGACGGCATTCTTCATTAAGAGTAATTGGTAACATTAAGGAACAATTAAGTACATAAAGAAATCATGGCCTATCGGTAGCTTTAATTTTATTACTAAATAGCAACCAGTTCAATGAATATGCCACATTGTGGTTATCCATTCAGTGGCTGATGGACATTTGAGTTGTTTCCAGTTTTTGTCTACTGTATTAGTCCATTTTCACACTGCTGATGAAGACATATCTGAGACTGGGTAATTCATAAAGAAAAAAGGTTTAATGGATTCACATTTCCATGTGGCTGAGGAGGCCTCACAATCATGGCAGAAGGCGAAAAGCATATTTTACGTGGCAGCAAACAAGACAGAATGACTATCAAGCAAAAGGGGTTCCCCCTTATAAAACCATCAGACCTTGTGAGATTGATTCTCAACTACGAGAACAGTATGGGGGAACCGCCCCCATGATTCAGTTATCTCCCACTGGGTCCCTCCCACAACACCTAGGAATTACGAGAGCTACAATTCAAGATGAGATCTGAGTGGGGACACAGCCAAACCATATCATCTACTATGAATAATGTTGCTATGAATATATATATATATATATAAATTTTTTTTACATTTTTTACATTTTTGCATTTACTTTTTTTTTTTACATTTTTTTTTACATTTTACAACAGGCAGAGTCTCGCTCTGTTGCCCAGGCCAAGATTCAATGCAATCTCAGCTCACTGCAACCTCCACCTCCCAGGTTCAAGCGATTCTCCTGCCTGAGCTACCCGAGTAGCTGGGATTCCTGGCGTGCACCACCACGTCCAGCTAATTTTTGTATTTTTAGTGGACACGGGGTTTCGCCATGTTGGCCAGGCTGGTCTCGAACTCCTGACCTCAAATAATCCATCCACCTCGCCCTCTCAAACTGGCGGCATTACAGGTGTGAGCCACTGTGCCCAGCCGCTATGAACATTTAAGTCTTAGAGTGAACATATATTTTTTGGAGTGGAATTGCTGGTTTATATGGTAAGTACATGCTTTTACTTTTTAAGAAACTGCCAAACTATTCTCCAAGGTGGTGGCACCATTTACATTCCCACCAACAAAGTATGACAATTAGGATTATTACAATTAGGACAATTCCAGTTTCTTCCAATCTATAAACATAGTGTGTCTCTCAATTTATTTGAGTCTTCTTTATTTTCTAATAGCTATGTTTTATAGTGTTCCATGAACAGGTCCTGCACACCTTTCGTAAGATCTACATTTAAGTATTTTATTTTTTAATGCTATTGTGAATGAAATTCTTTTCTTAATTTGATAATCAGATCGTTACTACTACATAAAAAAGAACTGATTTTTGTATATTAACCTTGTATCCTGTTAACTTGCTAAAATTCACTTATTAGTTGGTGTCTTTTAGATTTCTAGATTTCTTAGAAGATCTCCATATAGGATCATGTTATCCATACACAATCATGTATGGAGAGACAGTCCACTTTAAGCAGCTTGCACTCCTACATGTTTTGTTGGGTCTGCTAAGACTACAAAGGCCTAAAAACTCTTTTATGGACCCTTTTTTCATGGTTGTTTATGCAGCTGGTTAACCTTGAGAGGTGAGGTTACATTTTCTTCCACACAAAAAGCCTTCTCACTTACTACTTGCTATAACTGCAGTAGATTCCCCCAGCTCATTATTTCTCAGCTGCAATACAAGTCTGCTATGAGTGTAATATTCATACGTGCCCTATTGCATTGCCACTGTGGGCCTCAGGGGCAAAGGAGACAGATACAAATATGCTGAAACTCATGTTGTTGTTTGTGGTGCCATGAGTAATATAGTTCACAGGTGTTGTCATTCTTTAATTTTAGCCATCCTAGAGAACATATTATCTCTCTATGATATTAACTTATATTTCTCCAATGGTTAATGATTTTAATACCAAATGTTGACCAGGATAAGAAGCAACTGGAATTGACACACATTGCCAATGGGAGTATAACATGTTCAAGGGCTTTTGAAAATAGTTTGACAGTTTCTTTAGAGTTTCACATACTGAAATTCCACTCCCAAAAGCGATGTAAAAGAATGTTTGTAGAAATTTATTCATAATAGATCCATACTGGAAACAAGCCACAAGTGTCCATTTTAAAAAGAATGGATAAACAAACAGCACAATTGAAATCTACTCAGCAATAGAAGGAAATGTGCCACAAATCCACGCAACAACATGGATGGATCTCAGAAACCTTATGCTCACTAAAGGGAGCTGGATACAAAAGCTTCTGTATGATTCTGGTACTGTATGACTTTTTGTAAGTTCAAAAGCACAAGCCAACCTAAATAATATGACAGAAAGTAGAACAGTGATAGGTAGGAGGTGCCTAGATAATCAATAAAAAGTATTAACAAATGGTAAGGGGGTGATGAAATGATCTGTAACTTGATCTGGGCTCTGGTAATACAGGCATATACATCTGTAAATATTAACCAAATGGCACACTTTATGCATTTAATTGTATTTTAAGTTATGCCTCGATTTCAAAAATTTTAAAAATAATTTTTAAAGTGACCCAAGAGAATCAGACCAGCCAAATATTTGTTCTCATGTCTAATCTATATTAACATCCTTATGAATATTTTGTTTGTTTGAATGCCACTTCCTTAGTACTAACAACCTATTTTAGATGAATTTTAATTAAAGTTACATATGCTGCTGAAGCATACTCTTTGCGTAAGTAAATAAGATTAATTTCTTTAAAATCTACATATTTCTTCAACCGAAACACATTTTGCTATAGATAACTTGATGCTATTTTGTTTGGCCTGTAGTCAGCTAAATCATTCAACATTTGTAACATATTCACATTGTCATATGCTACAAATCTGAGGGAAAAAAGCATAAAAATAGAATGCCATTGGACTTACTAGTTCTAAGAACTATTAAAAGGCACAGATAAAAAATTTAGTAAACAATATCCTCAGGCAAAATATTTTCTGTTGTATTAATGTTCTACTTTTCAGGTCCTTTGTTGTATATGTAAATTGGCACATCTAACACCTAGGCACATTGGGAAGCTTAGTGTAGCTTCTGACCTATAAGCTAAGGAGGGGAATACGCAAGAATTTTGATTTTATGAAAAATGAGGACCAGGCGTGGTGGCTCACACCTGTAATCCCAGCACTTTGGAAGGCCAAGGTGGGCGAATCCCCTGAGGCCAGGAGTTGGAGACCAGCCTGGTAAACATGGTGAAACCCCATTTGTACCAGAAGATATAAAAATCAGCCGGGCCTGGTGGTGGGTGCTTGTAATCTCAGCTACTTGGGACAAGGGTAATCCCAGCTGTTCAGGGAAAGGGAAAGGGAAAAAGGGTGAAAGGGGGAAAGGAGAAAGAAGGGGAAAGAAGGGGAAAAGGGAGGGGAGGGGAGGGGAGAAGAAAAATGTAGGGGAATTTAATTCTTATTAGATTAGTTATCTTAAATATTTGCTACATTTACATTATTCTATCAGAGATTGATACTCTTTATATTTTTAAATTATTGCATACATTTTTATCAATTTCTTTCCTCTAGATTCCTCATACAAAACAATGAAATCTCACATCCTATTCTGTTTTGGGATATTGCACTGTGCAGAATAGTGGAAATTCCAAGTAGTTAAAGATCGCATACTATAACAAACCATTTGTGGGTCATTTCCCCAATGTAAGAATTTTGCTTTTATTTATTAATATGATTTTAAACTATGGTGCTAAGTTTTCATTAGGAGTTATACTTCCTAATGTGGGAAATAAATATCTTGATATTGAAAAGCCCTTACAAATATCCTGAGCTATTCATTTTGTATTAAAAATATTCAGTAATTATTTTCTCTGCCTCTTAATCACTGAACCTAGTCAGTGTGCCAAGAAAGCATGATCACATGGAAGGACATCTGAATAGTGGAGAAATTCGAGGAGTGGAGGGAAAAGATCCAGTATGTTTCCATTTGCTCTGTGTTTGCAGTTTAGCACACAGGTTTCTAAATTATCCTTGTCTACGAAATTCATTCCCATACACCAACGTTAATTTCCATTCAAACCCACGGGCTTGCTCCCTGATTGTACTCTGCACGTGAGAGTTCATGGTTTTCAATATATAAAGCCCGTTTGAATCATTAACGCTTCTGGCTGAGAATGAGAGTTAACGCAAGCACTTTCTAAAAACAGAAAAAGAGGGCAAAATACATATACGCTTTTGCCTAGCCAGTTTCAATTTGCTTCTAGCAAAATTATCCATTTCATCCCTACTCCTGCACTTCTATTTCACATTAACGAAGGAGAATATGTACTTATTAAAATGGAAAGTTGTCTCACATAAAATGCTACTGAGCCAATCCAATGAATGTTCGCAATTAAAGGTATAATAATCATAAAAAGAAGAAAACTTGATAAGCAAAAGAACAATCAAGTACTAGCATGAGTTACTAAGTGTTTTATTTCTTAAGCTTTTGTCTAAATAACTTTGGATCACATAGTTTTCTTAAGGAGACACTTAAGAAGAATGACAAATGGAGCTCTACTTTTTCTTTATTTGCCTTTTCTTGTATCAAATGCCCCATCATATTTTAGAAATCTTGGTTTTGCAGAAAAATTTAGCAATGTGCAATTCCAGGAAATATCAATGTAAACTTAATGACAACAAAGTCAGGTTTAATAGTCAAATCCAAATTTCAAGAATTTCATATTTTATATAATGGCACCAATTTTCCTGCAGCTGAATATACACAATCTGACTATACCTATATGTCAGTATACATACATATATATACTGAAATATATATGTATGTATATACTGACACATATAGTCAGTATATGACTATGACTATAGTCAGTATATATGACTATGACTATATATAGTCAGTATACAGTCAGTATATACTAACATATATGTATATGTGTATATGTACTGACATATATATGTGTGCTTATATGCACACACACTGACCATGTATGTACTGACATATGTGTGTGTGTGTGTATATATATATATACACACACTCACACTGACCGTATATATGTATATATTCCTGCAACTGAATACACACACACACACACACACACACACACACACACACACATACATTCAGCTTCAGGAAAACTGGTGCCATTATATAAAATATAAAGTTCTTGAAATTTGGATTTGACTATTAAGTACACACTGACTCTCTCTAAATATATATATATATACACACACACACACACACACACATATAGTATATATTTAGTACACAGTACATACACACACACAGATATATACATATGTGTTGTGTATTTATGTAGATTTATTGAACACATTAAAATCTATTAATTTGCAAAATTATATATACAAAATTAATCATACACTTGTGATGAACCTTTTCATTCTTTCATGTTTCTTTGCATAAAGAAGTAAGAGAGTTGTTTGGATATTAGAGTGGAAGAGTATACATACATAATCAGAAATTTCCAGAGGAAACATGAAGAGATGTCAACTATTTCTCCATTTTTTACTGATAATGCTTTCCAGAATCATGACTTTTGATTTTTGCTGTGCTATAATTACTCGCTCTTTACAATGTCCACTTACTTCCTTCAGGGATATGACAGGAAGATTGAGAAAAACTGTGGCTGGAAGGCCGGCAGTGCTGTAGAGACCCTGGGACCTGGGCCCTTCTTCTTTGGCTCCAGGTCATCCTGTGGTCTCCCCACCTTCCTCCTGCTTCCCTGGGCCCTCCTCACAACACTTCACAGACTTCTGTCCTCGTCTTGTTGCAATATCTTTTCTAAAATGTATTTTACAATAATTTCTCTACATTTCCTAAGCATCTGAAACGCAGTGTGACAATTTCATATATATTAATACTTTATACAATTCCTCATTCTGTTTTAGGAAAAATTACAAATCAGTTTAAAACTATTTTGGCAAGCAATCTAAATTAACTAAAGAATATCTTCTTATTGCTTTCCTGTAATAGGAAAGAGGTGGTGATGAGATGGTACACAGGTAATTCTTTATGAAAGCTATGGAATTCAGGGCATTGCTAATTCTTACTAAAATATGTGGAAACTAAGCAACTTTGAGCATCATAAAAAATAAATAGGAAGGTACATGGAAGAAAAACCATGTTCTCTAAAACCCCATAAAGCTAAGTTTTCTAAATATAATGAAATGTAAAATTTTTTAAAAATCTGACTTTTTTCTGGTTTATTTTCCTTTTTAATTTTTAATTTTTGTGGGTATGTAGTAGTTGTATGTATTTATAGGGTACATGAGATATTTTGATACAGGCATGTAATACATAATAATCACATCATAGAGACTGGGGTATCTGACTTAAGCAGCTTTTGTACTGGACCACACTTAAAATAGCTTAAAGCTAAAATAATGGTATACAAAGAATTATCAGCACAGTCAACAATCATCATCATCATCATCATCATCATTTTCCGTTTTTTCAATCTGAACCAAAGGGAGATTGTTATATCTACTGACAAATACAAAAATCAAATGGGATTATGAGAATGGTCCTGTGTCAGCTAGTTATAAAATAGAAAATACACATATATATCCTATTGGAAGGAAAATACACATATACACACATCACCCAAATGGTGATGTTTTACAACACGTTATGTATAAAATTAGGCATAAAATTGAACTTTAGTTTTCAGTGAAGTATGAATAAAATAGTGAAGAGCTCTCCAGGTTGACAATTATGGGAACAATTCTAAAACTACTCATCAGCTGATTGCGACTCCTTATAAAATTAATTTAAATGCACCAAAAGCCATATTGCATTTATACTATAGAAGGTAAAACTGGTACAGCCATTTCATAAAAAGATTTTTGATATTTTCCTGTTTTTTTTAAATTGAATAATTGTGACACAGAGAATGAGAAATGCATTAATCTTATTCTTAGAGGTTTCTCTGTCGAGTTTAAGTTGCCAATGTCATATGCCTGGCAGTGCGGTGGCCAATTTAAATGGAACCATAGGGGATTCAGTCCATGTAAACTACTTAAACATCACCTGACGGTCCCCTCCCCTGCACCGTGGGCTGCCATAACCTAATTTAACAAGCTCTTTCAGAGTTTGGACATTTCTTTGGTAACAACTGACATTACCTGGCATTATTTCATGTTTTATTCTGAATTATTCTACTACAGAAGCTTAAGTTTAATTCCATCTATACATATTATTTAATGTTTGCTTTGTCATGGCTCTGAGCTAGATGTTGTGAAACAATGTGCTTAACTGCCACTTTTACTCCCACTGTTGATACTACTAATTGCCGGGCGCGGTGGCTCAGGCCTGTAATCCCAGCACTTTGGGAGGCCGAGGCGGATCATGAGGTCAGGAGTTGAGCCTGGCCAACATGGTGAAACCTCGACTCTACTAAAAATACAAAAAATTAGCCAGGCGTGGTGGCGCGCACCTGTAATCCCAGTTACTCAGAAGGCTGAGGCAGGAGAATCACTTGAACCCAGGAAGCGGAGGTTGCAGTCAGCTGAGATCATGTCACTGCACTCCAGCCTGGGTGACAGGGTGAGGCTCCATCTCAAAAACCAAAACAAAACAAAACAAATAAAAAAAATCTACTAATTATAATTTTTGCTTCAGCAGCACTCAGTAGATTTTAGCTACTTTGGATCAGATCATATACTAATTTTTTAATTATGGTAATACACATGAAATTTACCATTTGAACTGTTTTATATGTAAAGTTCAGTAGCATTAAGTACATTCACGTTGTGCAACCATCACTACCATCCATCTCTAGAGCTCTTTCACCTTCCCAAATGAAAACGCTGAACCCACTAACAATAACCTCCATTACCAGCCCCTGGCAACAACTATTCTATTTCTTGTCTCTATGAATTTGACTACTCTAGGTACCTCATATAAATGAATAACGTAGTAGTTGTCCTTTTGTGTCTAGCTTATTTTCCTTAGCATAATGTCTTGAAAGTTCATCTGTGTTACAGTACGGGCCAGAATTTTCTTCCTACACTGCACTAGGCTTCTCCGTTTGTCCATCAATGGAAATTTGGGTTGTTTCTCTTTTGGCTCTTGCGGATACATCTGCTCTGAACATTGGCGTAACATAACCTAATTATTTTATGTGTATTAATTCATTTAATCTTCACAACCTATTTTACTCAAGTTAACTATTTCATGATAGGTACTTTACTAATCCCATTTTATAACTGAGGAAACAAAAACTCAGGGAGATAAAGGAATTTGTCCAAAGTCACACAGCTAGTAAGGGGTAGAGCCTGGATGATTCCAAGCTTATCCCTAATCACTAAGGATAAGATAGCACACTTCCTTCAAGGAAGTTAGAATTGCACAAACCGTAAGAAAAGTATACAAATACCTAGTAAGCACACTGGCATGTGATAAATGCTGAGAGCTTTTTAAGGGAAAGTGCCAGACATATTTAGCATGCAGGCTTAGTAAAAATCTAGATTAGGTCTGGCAGCCAAAATCTAGATTATGACCTGCTTTACACAGCCAGAGAACTAAGAATGGTTTTACATTTGTAAAGCGTTGCGTTTAAAAAAAAAAAAAAAAAGAGGGCGGGGGCTGGGTATGGTGGCTCAGGCCCGTAATCCCAACATTTTGGGATGCTGAGGTGGCTGGACTGCTTGAGCCCAGGAATTCAAGACCAGCCTGAGCAACATAATGAGATCCCATCTTTACAAAAAATATAAATGTTCGCTGGGTGTTATGACATGTGACTGTGGTCCCAGCTACTCGGGAGGCTGAGGTGGGAGGATCACCTGAGCCCACAGAGGTTGAGGCTACACTAAGCTGTGATCTTGCCACTGTACTCCAAACCTGGGCAACAGAGCAAGACTGTGTTTCAAAAAGAGAAAGAGAAAGAGAGAAGAGGGGAAAAGAAAAAAAGAGGAAAGGAAAAAAGCAAGGAAGGAAGGAAGGAGGAGGAGGAGGAAGGGAGGGAGGGAGGGAAGGAAGACAGAGAAAGAAAAAAGAAAAAAAAGAAATGTAACAGAGACCTTACATGGTCCACAATACCAAAATCATTTTCCATCTGTCTCTTTACAGCAGAAGTTTGCTAACTCCCATGTTTAAATTTTATTTTTAATTGATGAATAATAATTGTACATTTTTAAGAGGTGCAATGTGATGTTTGGATACATGCATACACTGTAAAATGATCGAATCAGGCTAATCAGCATATCAGTCACCTCAAATATGTATCATTCTTTTAGCGGTGAGAATAGTTAAAATCCTCTCATATATTTCAAAACAGACAACACTTATTAACTACATTCACTATGCTGTGCAAAAGAACAACAGAAATTATTATTCCTATCTACCCAAAACTATGTACCTACTGACCAACATCTCCCCCTTCCCTATCCACCCTCTCCTCTAGCCTCTGGTAACCACCATGCTACTCTCTACTCCTGTGAGCACTGTCTTTAAATTCCACATGTAAGTGAGACTATATGGTATTTGTCTCTCTGTGCCTGGTTTATTTCACTTAACATAATGTCCTCCAGGTTCATCCATGTTATCACAAGTGTCAGAGTTCCCTGCATCACGGGTTTTAATCCACACCTTTGATGTACTTGGCTCTAGTAAGTACAAGCGTGGGGGAAATGTAAAACTCTTTTGGTGCAAGCATTCTGCATCATGTTTCAGACTTTCAAAGAAAATTTTAAGTCATCCTCAACAACATCACATTAATTTGAGGCTAGAGAAGATACGGACTATAACCCTGACAAAAGCCACTTGAGCAAATCCGTCAGAATCATTCTGCAGGTATAAATTTTTAAATCACAAACTCATGAGGGAAAATGTAACTTCATTTCTCCATAACCCAGAAAGCTTTCTAGTAGGAGCTGGAATTCTGGCTGATACACAGACTGGAAGTAGTCACAGCAGGTGTCTCTGTCCAGTTAAGGGATAAGCCTGTCAGTTCGTGTCTGTATTGGTCGCAGACCCTTGAAAATTCCTTCAGGGGTTCTTTTACTTCCCCTTCATCCCCAGAGTTAACTCTGGTCTCTTCTGGCTTTGCTAATTGCCTTGGTAAAGCGGGGAGGGGAGTGTGTTCAAGCCCCAAGTAGAGGTCAGCACTGCACTGTCCTCAGGGATGGCGACCTGCTGCCGATGGAGCCAAGTCCTCCCATCCCAGGCTGGGACAGTGCTCTCCACAACGTTTTGGTGACCCTTTCTCCTCCCTCTGCCAGACCTCAGGCAGGAACATGGTCTTGCTCACCTGCCTTTGGTACCTCAGGGTGTCCTTGGATAACTGGGGCTGTCCTCACCGGCCACCAGAGCTGCAGCAGGGCGTCCAGTCCTGTCACTGAATGTGCCGCAGCACAACGAGGATGCCGTGCAGGCTGCTCTTGGAGACTGGCGTCCTCCTTTCCACTACACACATGAGAGTGCCCACTCAGATCCCTGAGCTTCAGTGAAGACTTCCATTAAGCCACCACCGGCAAGGCTCTGCTTGAGAGCAGAGCTTCAGGGCAGTCCCCACCTCTCTATGCATCCTATCGTGCAGTCCTGCTGAGGGTTCCTAGTCTGCGAGATAGCAGAAAAATTAAAACACCTTTAGCCTGCTCAATTCCCTTTCAAACTTTTTCTACCTCAGACCAAAAGATGCTTTTGGACTTCAGAAGTGAAGATTAATGCCTTGGTTCACAGTCTCTGCAATGATCCCCTTTTCTCTCTACAGAAGACTCAAGACAATCTGAGTTAGGAGCAAAGACGGAGGTCTGAGGGCACTGGCGAAAAAATTCAGTGAGCTTGGAAGCAGGGTCATTTATGTTAATTGTACATGTCATCCCACACAGAAATGGCCTTTATAGGAATTATCAGTGTCGTGAAGAAAGTTTTGATTTCCATTTTTAAACCTCATATCCCCTCATCAAAAGCTCCCATCATGAGTTTCTGGCTGACTTACGCCAGGACTCACAGAATGATTCATCCCTACATGAAAAAGTATTTTCACCAGCCTCAAAGGTTTTCAGGAATTACTAGATCAAAGAATTGTTAAAGAAACTTTCCAAAAGCTCATTCTACTTGCCCCTCCAAGCAAAATACTAACTTTGTGATGGATTTTAGACATTCCTAGTCCGTAACAGCGGCATGAAACTTTTTTTCTTTTTTTTTTTTTTTAATAGAGACAGGGTTTTGATGTTGCCCAGGCTGGTCTCCAACTCCTGGGCTCAAGGTGATCCAACCGCCTCAGCCTCCCAAAGTGCTGGGATTACAGGCGTGAACCACCCTGCCCGGTCCCGCACAGAAGTTTTTGATGTTAGGTGTACCACCTTCAATGATGGCTGTGTGGATCCAATATCTGCTTCTCTTTCATTCATAAAATTCACCAAGTTCACATTGGAAAACATTATTCTATGGTTATTCCAGAAAATATTAGATTATCCCCATTTTGTTTGAAAACTGACTGAAAATATGACATCATGTTCCCATCTGGCAGGAGTGCACAGCAGGCATGGAAAATGGGGATGAGTGCGTCCAAGTTAGTTCCAATTTTCAAACATTCATCCCGCACCGCCTGTTCAGTTGCCTGGGTAAAATTGCCCCACGCAGAGAAGCTTTTACCCCAGGTTAATAAAGATGCTTTTTATATTAGTATTTGAGTTGTGGTCACTAGTAATGTTTTCTAGTTCAGATTGTGAAATTTGTATTTGTTACTATCTTTGTTTTTATACCTCAAAGAACCATTTAGAGTCACTGATTCATGTCCATAAAGCAGGAACTTTCCGAAATTTAGTAAGAATAGCTAAGTACAAATCTAAAAAAAAAATTACATACTTCAGAAACTAAAAATGCATTCACTGAGATGCCTTATATCCTAATTAAATATTAGCTGAATTGTAATTGATCTTACATTTTGATTTTGTGAAATATATATTGCCTTTACTCCAAAATTTACTAGACCACCTTCTTACGTATGGCAGTGGGCATTAGGTGGCTTGTGAATTTGAGAACTGCTCTATGGGGTTAGTGTCTGAGATTCATCAACTGAGCATGGAACAAGAAGAGAATAGCACTTTAAAGAACATTAACTGAGGACTTTGCTAAGCATTTATTTAATTAGGGAAAGCTTCAAAAGTTGAAGTTCGATCATGGGACTTTCAAAATAATCCAAGTGAGACATGAAGAGACTAAGCTGAGGGGGAGATCCATGGAAATGATGTATTAGAATCATAAGCATGAACTGTTTCAACAGACAATACACAGAATTTGGAAAAAGGAGGGAGTGATAACTCTAAGATTTTTTTCCACAAATCAACATTCATACATATTATTTTGTATTCATATACTGTGATCTTCATGGAGTAAGGTGCTAATGTAAAAAAATTGATTATTGGAGTTTATAAAAGCAACTTTTGACCATTTTCTCTGTGTGTGTGTCTACATAGCAAACTTACTTCCTCAGAGAAGCAGAAACTCTTTGTCTTACTGACACTGGAATCTATCCTCTGTAGTTTTATTCCATCAAAAAGATAACTAGGCTGGGCGTGGTGGCTCATGCCTGTAATCCCAGCACTCTGGGAGGCCGAGAAAGGTGGATCACGAGGTCAGGAGATTGAGACCATCCTGGCTAACATGGTGAAACCCCGTCTCTACTAAAAATACAAAAAAAAAAAAAGTTAGCCAGGCGTGGTGGTGGGTGCCTGTAGTCCCAGCTTCCTGGGAGGCTGAGGCAGGAGAATGGCGTGAACCTGGGAGGTGGCGCTTGCAGTGAGCAGAGATCACGCCACTGCACTCCAGCCTGGGTGACAGAGCGAGACTCTGTCTCCAAAAAAAAAAAAAAAAAAAAAAAAAACCAACAGCAAAAAAAACAGATAACTAAGACTTTGGCCCTACAATATTTACACTCTGCATGGAAAACAACCCACCAAATATGTTTTCTGTACTTACTGAAAAACCACCAACTATGGTTTTATATTCACTGAATACAAGTAAATTAATGAAACATTTTCAGGACAATCAGGCACAGATTGCTATTTTTTCTATTGAGTTGAGATAATTATTTGGGCTAATAATAGAAAGAAAGTGTGTATCCACTCCTGGAAGGCTGTGTGCTGTGCTATAAGAGAAGCTGATGCCTCTGCTTCCCCATCTTTGTTCTGTGGAGCCACACAGGCAGCCTGATACCTGGGCAAATGCTTACCTGCCCAGATCCGAAGGGCTGGTGCACCCAGATTCGTGGCTAGGTTGTGTGCAGCACAAATTCCCGCCTCTAGTTTCCCTGCTTTCCTCTTTTCCTAAGAAATCAGTACCTGAGCTTTTTCAAAATAACTGGAGAAGAAATGAGGCAGAAAGTATCTTTTTAAACACAATCCTCATTCACTCAGAAAATTGAGAAAAAAGTTCTAAGTGATAATTGATGACAACCTGTAAAATTTTTCAACAGCTTGAGTGTCTATTTTATCTACAATATTGTCATCAACTCATAACCAAATATCACAAATAGGCAGCATAATGGCCTCATTAGGGCAGTTTCCACAGTGACCCACACCATCAACAATGGCATGCATCTGTCATGCATCTTCCCAGAAAGTCCTAAAATTCTACAGGAAAAACCTCTTGGAAAGAAAGTTTCAAACGTTGATGAGGTCCACCCATATAGTTAATCTCTTCAGGTGAGAAGCTATAAACATAAGACGCTTCTTCGGTTTCATCCATTTTGTAAACTCATTTGCTGAAATGTTCTTCACAGTAATATCTGTGTTCACTGCATTGTTTCCAAGTATTTAAAATCCCTGAAGAAGTAAGTAATCCATGTGTTTTACGCCATTTCAACAGAAATGTCTTAGGCAATGTTTATCTTTGCTGCTTACAGATCCCCAAATGAGACAGCTTGCTTCATTAGTGAAGGCCCCTTGAAAAAATTCTCAAACTCTCCTTCGGTCTAACGCATGGTTAGTTATTGTACATTCATTTTGCGACTTTAAAAAGGAGCAATTGCAGAGGTGTCAAGCCACAAATAACAATGCTGTCTAACTTCGTTAGACCATGAAAACACATGGGGTTATCCTTGCAAAAAAGCATATGTATTGTTTAATTTATTGCAGTAGCATCTTGAATCACATCTATCGTGAGAGAATATAAAATCTTTTTCATGTTTTTCACACACTGTCATAACTTATTATTGTTTTCCATTATCTTAATATTCTGCTGTCTAAGAGATGTAGCCCCTGGGTGACCTGAAAGTCTGGTGAAGCTAGTATGATCAGGGATATAATAAGACAGTGACCATCTATGGACCTTGGACACAATACTAGAGAGCATGATAGATGCATGTGGGCCATAATGATGTTGATATTAATACGCTATTAATTCCTCTCTGACTCCAGTAAATCATCTCCACCTTGTCTAGGTTTTGCATTTCCAAATGCTTGCCCTTTCTCTCTTAATAATTCTCCTTAATATCCCACATTCCTTTAACCTGAGGTGGAAAACTCATAAGTGGGGAGGGAAATCCTAAAACTCACTAGGTGACACAATACACTAAAGCATTCCAGCTTGGGTCAGCAGACATGTTACAGCTGCAGACTCTTATGTTTTCTCTCTTTAGACCAAAGAGTTTATCTCACACTCATCATGTGTTGGTCTGTGAGTGGCCAAGACAACATTCAATGAGCAACCAGCAAACCCTCCCTTATGCTAGAATGCTTACTTATGGGGATACTAAAAAACACTAGGTCTGTTATAGTTCTACTTGGAAACTTCAGATGCCTTTTCTTCTAACTCTGAAATTTTAATAAGATGGAAGAAGCACTTTCTGCATAATTGTTTATTTAAAACTAAATGCAATTCCAACCCAGAAGAGGCCTCTTTTGGATAAGACTAGCCAAGTTACAGATGAAGACAACAGGGTCTTAGCTGTCAGTGAGATAGCCCTCTTTGATCTTGGGAAATTCTGAAGGAATTTCTCATTTCAAAATAAGAATAAATACTTTTGGGTAAAGGGAGGAGAGAAAATTCTTCAGGTCACCTTCCATTTTTTCCTTATAAACAAATTACAATCAGTTGACCTCAGCCTAGCATTTTGATTAAAAATAACTCAAGATAGGACTGAAAGAAAACACCAAGAAGAGAGTTTTATCCTAATCTTAGAAAGGCATATTCATATGACAACCAGCATAAGAAGCAAGGAATCTGAATTACAGAAAAATAAACTTTAAACTGAAACTGCTAATATAATAAATGCAGAGGAGACACAGGGCAGCAAATGCATAAATAAATGTATGTCTTTAGCCAGTATGTGAATGATACCCAAAACGGCTGGTTTTCCATCTCAAACAGTCATGGAATAACAACTTCACAGTGTTTATTAATTGTTGAAATTGTCTAAAATAAGAGATTATATTTTCACAAATTCATTTGACACAGACACAGCTATAAGCACATGAGAAGACAGGCCTAAGGAAAAAGGTAAAATTAATTCACCTATGTCTGTATTTGTCAACTAAACAAAGCATCGATCCATTTATTATAAAGTATAATAAAACTAAGGACAACCATTGCATAATTAAATTGCCTCTGAAAGCCAATTATTGATTATGGAGAAAACCAAGTTTTACAACTGTATGTGTGTATCATATAAAGATTTCATTTCCTAATACAGATCATTCATTATTCATTTTGAAATGTTAAGAATTTACTATGTGCCAGTGTATCGTTTGAAGTCTCATATTTTAAACATTTTAAACTATAGGTTAATTTTCTGAAATTTTCGATTAGTGTCAGAAGAAGTTACAGAAAAAGGAATAACAAACATGTTTAAATAATTAAATGGTTTCAATGGCATCTCGGAATTTCTTTGATATTATTATCAAAATGTTTTCTTCAATTCTACTCAAAACCTTATTTTTTTGCCCTAAGTCTTTGTCAGCTTATTTCAGTCTTATTTTTACATGTAATATACCACAGAGTTCTTCTTAGCTTCAAGTGATGCAATGTGAAAGGTGTAGAAATGCACACTGACCCTTAGCCTCTTAAATTTACAACAGGTCGGCCAGGCGCGGTGGCTCACGCCTTTCGGAGGCCGAGGCGGGCAGACCACGAGGTCAGGAGATTGAGACCATCTGGGCCAGCATGGTGAAACCCCTCCTCTACTAAAAATACAAAAATTAGCCTGGTGTGGTGGCGGGCACCTGCAGTCCCAGCTACTCGGGAGGCTGAGGCAGGTGAATCACTT
Source organism: Homo sapiens (assembly GCF_000001405.40). Taxonomy (NCBI): domain Eukaryota; kingdom Metazoa; phylum Chordata; class Mammalia; order Primates; family Hominidae; genus Homo; species Homo sapiens. Next base: position 72,929 of record NW_025791789.1, on the reverse strand, counting down.
GAGCCCAGGAGGTGGAGCTTGCAGTGAGCCGAGATTGCACCACTGCACTCCAGCCTGGCAACACAGCAAGACTCCATCTCGATAAATAAATAAATAAATAAATAAATAAATAAATAAATAAATAAATTTACAACAGGTCACTTTATCCTCAAATTAGCCAATACCATGTTAGAGGTTATACTGAAATTCTAACTATGAAGATGTAGAAAGCAAAAACATATTTAATTAGTTATAATCCAATCTGTGCAATATTCATGATAATACATTTTTACAAGTTGAAAGTAATTCTGGATTATGCTTCATAACTTATGAAACCTTTGGTGGAAAAACTGAGTCTTCCCCATTAAAGGGAATTAAATAAGTTGCTTATAAAAGTGCATTAACTTGTTTGGCCCATGGGTTCATCATTTAGTGGCATGGAAGAACTAGTTTACTTGTGGTATCCAAGAGGCATGAAGAAAGACACCTCCAAAAAGTCCATTTTGATTCTTTACACTGGGACAGACGGGATGCATAGCTACCTTGTTCCCCTCTCACCCCTCAGGCTAAGGCTTGAGTAACTATCGCAGCTGTTTCCATGGCGTCTTCCCATCACATGGGTACAAGGCACTGGGCTGCACAACAGGGAAACTACTTGTTTTCTGCCTGTTAATTTTTAGCTCTGAGATCTTTACACTCCACTGGAGAAAGGCTTTAATGTCTGAGACAGGGGGTCATTATTTGTTAGTTTAATTATTTATGATCAGAACATTTGTTCAGTCACTCTTCCATAGACCATTCTGAATCTAATAAAGGATAATAAAACACTAGAGATAATCTATAGCCTTCAATAAATCACTCCCAATTTGGAACTCCTTTGATGAATACTCCAGGCTACCATGAGGGAGAAGAAAAAAGTCAAAACCAATTAAAAAAAGCAACAACAATGAATTTGTAATAAACTCAGTTGATAGCTAACTAAAGTAAGCCTGTTTTTCTAACTTCATTAACATGAAAATAAATTTTATTAAGATTGATATCATGCTTTTTTGCACGAGGAGTTACAGGAACATGAACTAAGAATAAAAATGATCCCTATGATAAAGAATCCTCATAATCATGTACTTTAGTACAAAATATGATTTGACATCAAGAAGAGCTATGGCTTGAGATTGCTCTTGTTTTCCTTTACCCCCTGTGCCCAGGCTTAGTCACTGTTTCAGTGATAATGACCATCCACTGAGGCTCTGCAGCAATAGAATCTAAAGTAACAAAACAGAGCCCATATCTCTGCAACAAATGAAATCACAGACTTAAGAAACATAAACAGAAAAACAAAAAGTTAAGTTGTTCATGTTTCATAGCCATACTGCCTATAACAAATGCCAGAACATATTTATTTGGTCCAATGTGCAATGCATTAAATGTGCTCAAATACAGAAAACACCAAGAAATGCAACAGGGAGTTAAAAAAAAAAAAAAAGGCTGGGCGCGGTTACAGGCTCACGCCTATAATCCTATCACTTCAGGAGGCCGAGGTGGATGGATCAGGAGGTGAGGAGATCCAGACCACCTTGGCTAACATGGTGAAACCCCGTATCTACTAAAAAAAAAAAAAAATACAAAAAATTAGTCGGGCCTGGTGGCGGGTGCCTGTAGTCCCAGCTACTTGGGAGGCTGAGGCAGGAGAATGGCGTGAACCCAGGAGGCAGAGCTTGCGGTGAGCTGAGATTGCACCACCGCACTCCAGCCTGGGTGACAGATTTTGTCCGTATCTGCAGAGGAAATGGGAAAAGCCAAAAGGAGGGGCGACAACTGATGCTATGGGGAGGAGCTTTACATTCAAATGAGGACACCTCCTGGCATCTCCGGATGGAGCTCCGAATTCATTACAGTATTACTTAAAGGATTTTATTAAAAGACCAAACCACACTGCACTTGTGGTTGAATGCCTTTATCAGAGATGAATCTTACATGTGTTAGGACAGGCTGACAGTGGCTCCCAAAGATATGTCTATGCCCCAATCCCGGGACCCTGTGAAGGTTACTTCAGAAGGTAAGGTTCTCCAGATGTGATCAAAGACCCTGAGACGAGGAAATTATCTTGAATTATCTGGCTGGGTCTTAAATACCATCAGAACTGCCCTTGTAAGAGAGATAAAGGTGAGGATGAACAGAGCCCCACACAAAAGAATAGTCACAGTGGAGCATGAATAAACCATTTTACATGGTTATTTCTCTACAGTGGATGCTAAGGAGAGAATCAAGTCCGCCATAATAAGAAATAAACTAAGAGTTGTAGTTAAAACATAATAAAAATCTTTTTAGACGCTTCTTTACTTTGCCAATTTTCTCATCCAAATAGGGATAATTAAATAATCTGGGACAACAAAATGTATACTGTGGCAGAACAAAAGAATCCAAGGTAAAAAAAAGGACATGACAGAATCTAAGGTCTTCGATAAATAATACTCAGATATTGCAAGGGGTATACAAAGAGTTCAAACACTGTCAAAGTCAGGTGTGACATGTTCAAGGCACACAAAGATCGTACCAAGGGAAACCCAGCAGGACCAGAAAGCCGAAGTGATCAACTTATTCCTGTCAAATACATTCTTGGAGTTTCAAATGTGAACAAATATGCTTATTCTGAATTTTACTTCCTTCTGCAAAGTATTAATCAATTATAATTATAATTATAATTATTTTGTTAAATGAATTATAATTATTTTGTTAAATGAAAATCCAATGAGAGTCACCAAGGAGCAATACAAGGAAAAAGGCAGACTCACCATCTCTTCGATTAAGCCTTGAAAACCCCGGGCCGTGGCTGCTGGACAGCTCTGAGGAGCTGCTGAAGGATGACCTAGGCAAGGCAGAGGCCAGTGGGGCATCACAGTCAGCTGCCGGGAAAAATACCGTGATATGGTTAACACTCAGATTGCAGCTTGGGAGAAATAATAGTCCAAAAATATATATGAATATATTCTAGGATGTATGGCAATCATCACTCCTTTTTTAATTTTTTACAATTTTTAAAATTTACATTGCAGTATAATTTACAGAGAGTAAAATTCCAGAGAATTTATCTGATGTTTTTAAAGTGTACAGCTCTATTCATTTTGACAAATGCATTCAGCCTTGTAACCTCCACCATAATGAAGACATAAAACAGGTCCATTAGCCCTCAAAGTTCCCTAATGTCCCACATTTTCTCAATTCTGCAAGATGTCTGGGTACATCACCCATCCAACACTACTTTAAACTCAATTTGATGCTTAGGTTCTTTAGGTGCACACACACAGAGGTAGTGTGAATTGTGTGCCCAAACCTCAATAGCGGCTAGAAATTCTCACAGTGCCCCAGCACAGAACCTGTGGGGGATGGGAAAAGTGAAATGCACCAGGTGTTCAGGTCAGAGTTACCTGCGTGAAGCCAGGACCCATGAAAGGCAACACCTGTAGTGATGAACTGGAAAAAGCCCACTCTGTAGACCCCTCCAGAGGGAATCACTGCGGGCTACTTGCCTACAGGAGATGGAGGCTCCTCCTTTTTGCCTGATAACTTGAGCATTGCAGGAACTTGCTCTGCCTTTCCAAATCACGCTAGACCAGAGGGTTTCTGGCTTGCTGCACTTCCCTAGGCTTGTTGATTTAGTCTCGGCGATTAGCTCTGCCTAGGTTCCTCTCTCCCCACTCTATGGTCTTGATTTGTCCCCTGACCCCTGCCTGGCATCACTCTTAGCTTCCCACTTCTCCTTGACAAGTATTCCCAGCATGCTTTGTGATTCCCAGCATGGTGCCTATGAAGGGTTTGGGACAGAAACCATTTCTTAGTATTATGTTCATGAAAGACAGCAGAAGATTAAAATTAGCCTAAGGGCTTCCTGTATACAAATCAACATTGCATTCACAGATGTGCTAGTTTACGACAATTTTTACCACATGAATATGAAATGATTAAAAAATCAATTTGAGGAATTGCCCTTACCTAAGACAGAGATGATATACTTTTCAAAACAGCATTTCATTTGAGTATGTTAATTCTTGCACTTATTTAATAAAAGTGTATTGAGCACCTACCATGTGCAAAGCATTATGGGGCATAAAGAGAGACATGGTTCTAGGTTCAAGAAGTCCAGAATCTAACATGGGAGGGAGATGTGTAAATATCTGTTATAGGAAATAAACAGAAGAGCAAAATATTTAGATACTACTATTTATTCCAAAACACAGGGAAGCATCTTAATTGCTTAGGAACAAAACCAGCCTCTGAAAGAGCAAACACTACTAGGGAGAGATGCGTATAAAAGTGCTTCTGGAAAAGATAAACATAAACCATGCATTTTCAAACAGCAATTCATTATTCTGGGATCTGATAATAAGAATGAAAAAAAAAAGAATGCATGTATAATACATGGACAGATTTTGTCCGTATCTGCAGAGGAAATGGGAAAAGCCAAAAGGAGGGGTGACAACTGATGCTATGGGGAGGAGCTTTACATTCAAATGAGGACACCTCCTGGCATCTCCGGATGGAGCTCCGAATTCATTACAGTATTACTTAAAGGATTTTATTAAAAGACCAAACCACACTGCACTTGTGGTTGAATGCCTTTATCAGAGATGAATCTTACATGTGTTAGGACAGGCTGACAGTGGCTCCCAAAGATATGTCTATGCCCCAATCCCGGGACCCTGTGAAGGTTACTTCAGAAGGTAAGGTTCTCCAGATGTGATCAAAGACCCTGAGACGAGGAAATTATCTTGAATTATCTGGCTGGGTCTTAAATACCATCAGAACTGCCCTTGTAAGAGAGATAAAGGTGAGGATGAACAGAGCCCCACACAAAAGAGAAGAGGGTGTGAAAATGGAGTGAGGCACCCACAAGGTGAGGCACATGGGCAACCACAGGAAGCCGGAAGAAACGAAGAATGGATGTCCCCCTAGAGCCTCCGTAGGGAGTGTGGCCCATCTTGATTTTGGACTAGGGATACTGATGCGGAACTTCTGGTCTCCAGACTATGACAGAATAAATTCTTTTGCTTTAAGTCAGCCAGTTTATGGTCAATTCTCACAAGGGCCATAGGAAATGAACACACTGTTTATATGGAATTACATATTGGATATTTTAGGGGAAATGCAGGAGAGTTCCAATGAAAATACGATTAACATCCCTTTGAATCACACAGATACTCAATTCCTTCTCAGAAGGGCTTCGTGATGCTAAGCCACTCTGCCAGGCTGTGGCTCTCCCCATGCTTGTGGCTGCACTTGCTCCTCACTGTGAAAGGAGCTAACCACTGTGTTGGCGGAACCTAAGGATGGAAGGAGAGGGGAAGGGGCCACCGAACTGCTAATATGAGGGGACGGCACCTTAACCACCTTCGAATTATCAGAAAAACACAAAGCCTACTATTAAAGAGTTCAACAGATGGTTACTGTGTTATCACAGATGTATAGAAAACCTCTTTGTTCTAAAAAAAAAAAAAAAGAAAAAAAAAGATTCCTGTCCTTTCTCAGACTGTCTCGATTAGGTCAAATTCACTAACTCCACAGCAGGCTTCTCTCTGGTTCCACATATTGAGTCAGTAGGGAGCACGGCCTCGGGAATCGAATCACAAACAGGGAAGGGGGTGCCCATACCTTCTTCAGGCCACGTCTGGATGTTCATCTGGATACGGCGCTATTCCATTCTTCCCATTTCATCACCTGTCTTTTCAGTTCTTAATGTACCTTAACATTATCTTAATGAGAGGTTAAATAAAGCTTTTATTTAGAAGGTACCAAAAGTTCATCTTGTTATGAATCTGAATTGATCTGTGCATTGCTATCTAGAGGGAATGCTTCGGAAAAAGCACATTTTACTCACAGTGAACATAAGCAGTAATGGTCAATGTAAAAATCTACTTTTTTCCATATAAAAACTTCTGTTTTACATGGTCTTGATCTCCATTCGATTATCTTCAGTCACTGTCTTCCCTACATCTCACTCCATGGGGTCTGAAGGGGGCTCACCCTACCACCTGGGGCCAGCACAGGGACACGCCTCAGGCCTGGCAACTGAATGCCATGCCTGTCCTACTGGAAAGGACTGGTTCCAGGATGGTCAGGAAGCCCATGCTGAATGAATGGGAACAGAACCTGGGACTTTCGAATGAATAACAGCAGAACCTGGGACTTTCGGCTTGAACTCTTGGGAGAAATACCCATTCATTCATTCAACAAATATTTGTTGAAAATCTATACTGTGCCAGGTATGCCCCTATGTTCTGGGGATATAACCATAAACAACAGAAAAAGTCTCTGCTCCTGTGAAGCTTATCCTACTGAGTAGAATAAACAAATAAAGGCATAATATCTGTAGAACTCAACATTGCTAAGAACAGAAATAAAGGAAAACAGTCACGCTTCTAAGCTGGTAAACGGTATGCCTGAAGCTATGGCATAGACAGAGCTGCCCAAGAATGAGGCCAGTTGTAGACGAAAATAAAACTGCAAGAAGGAAAGAGGCAGACTGCTGATGAAAGAATCTGATTGCCTAAATTCAGCCTGGCTTCAATCAAGACACTTTGGTTCCCTTTATTGTTCAAGTCTATTTGATCTTAGATTTTGGTCACCTGAAACTGAAAAATGCTCAATAAGTACACTGTCCTGAGCCCCCACCCTTATCTTCCCTCTACAGCCAATAAATTGCCAAGGATTATGTACTTTTTGTGTGTATATGGCAGCTTTTCCATTATCATGATCATCATCTCACTGTAGGTCCTCATGTTAACGACCTAACTAATCCTTACAGCCAATGCTTCCTTATTGACTGTCCCCAGCCACACACACACCTTACGTATCACCAGAGCAGAAACGGTTTTAAACTATTGCTGAGTGCAAGTCACACAAACAGCCATATCAACCAGCTCCAATGGATCCCCACTGCACCTGTCCTGAAATTCAAATTTCAGGTCCTGGCATTCAATTCCTTCCATCGCCTGTTTCCTGTCACTCTCTGCACTACAGCCAAATCCCCTACACATTTCTCAGATGTGCTTCCTCCTTTAATCGGAGTGGTCTTCTCACTGTTTCCTGAATGTGGGATGCATGCACCAACGCTCCTTGACCGCTCACCCGATGACATTGCAGCCCCTCCTGTCTGCGAGTTCCCATCACTTATTATCTTCAGGGCTCAACTCAAGTTTTGTCTCTGCTCTGAAGGCTTCTCACATGTGTGAAGGCCCCAGTAAGGCTTACTCTTCTGAAATACTGAGGTCTGTCTCATGGAAAATGAATTACACCTCTGGAGAAGGAGCAGCACCTCACTCACGGGGAGCCACACAGCAGCCACGTGTGGCGGCAGATGGGGATGAGAGGGAACAGGAGAACCTCACTCCCGAGAAAGGAGCCTTGCCTGCTGACTGATGATTCTGGGGTGAGGAAGAGAGGCTGGCATGACCAGCTGATGAGTGTCTGGTTCCCGGGACATGACAGACAATTCCTACAGTCTACCTGTGGGAACAGATGAGGCCTGGAAGAAGACACATAGAAACAGGTTTAAATTCTATAAATTAGAATTTACAGGGGGTAGGAGATAGGAGTTACACGTTGTCTCTCCTTCCAGATGATATTTTGACTTGTTAAAGAAAACCTAGCATAGGAACATTGAATACCTCCTGACATTGGTGTTTTCAAGTGACTTACAGCACTACAAATATAAAGTTATAACAACAGCATACCAATTTTAACATACCAGGACCAAGGACTTTATTCTATGAGAACTACAAAAGACACAACACAAATGAAGACCTAGAGGAAAGTTTACATAGTTTTTTTTTTTTTTTTTGAGACGGAGCCTTGCCCTGTTGCCCAGGCTAATTTTTTTTTGTATTTTTAGTAGACACGGGGTTTCACCATGTTAGCCAGGATGGTATCGATCTCCTGACCTCGTGATCCGCCTGCCTCAGCCTCCCAAAGTGCTGGGATTACAGGCGTGAGCCACCATGCCCGCTCAAGTTTACATAAATTTAAGCATCTTAATTTGATGATCTACTCTACAGTCATTACAACAATAAATATAAGAACTATTTAAACATGTGGAGAGATGAAGGAGATGGGATGGGAAAATCTGCATATGAGAAGATAATGGACAAAGAGATCTGCTGGATTGAGATGAGATAATGGGTGTTAAATCCAACAAACACAGCTCTGGAAACACAGAAGGGATTAAACATAGATCAGCTCCTTTTCCCTGAGGAAGCTGGATAGATGATCTTGTTCTCTTTCCTTTTATTTCTAAATTTCTTGCTATGTAGTTAAATTATACTTCTGTGATAAATTCAATACCTATTTTTAAACTATAGATTTTTGGCTAAAGTATATAATATGAGAATAAGATGAACCTATTTTTTTGAGACTTACTGCTAAGTAGAAAGAGAGGAAACCAAATAACAAAATTAAGTCCTGCAGAAAGACATCAGACACGACACAGAAAAAAATACAACAACACAGGTGCATATAATTTAAAAAGAAAATCATGTGGAGATGTCATCACTAATAATTGTTATTACGAATGTATCCACAGCTGTGGGAATATAAGTGATAAAGATGAGCTGCTAATAAAGGGCAATAAATGATCTTTCCACGGGTACAAAAAAATAGAAAAAATGACCCAGTATTTGATAACACAAGAGGTGACTATAGTCAATAATTACTTAATTGTACATTTTTAAATAACTTAAAGAGTGTAATTGGATTGTTTGCAACTCAAAGGATAATTGTGTGAGGGGATGGATACTCCATTTTTCTTGATGCACTTATTTCACATTGCATGCCTGTATCAAAACATCTCATGTAGCCCATCGATATATACACCTACTATGTAACCACAAAATTAAAAGCTAAAAAAATTAAAAATAATAATAATTCTTTCTATGCACCTCTGAGAGTTGACAGAACTAGCGTCTGAATGAGAACGTAAGGTATGAGAAGGATATGGCTTCTTCCCAAGACATGTTACAGAGGGATGGAAAGAAGACTGTGTTCAACTTATAACATCTTAAAGGGACGTCATGACCTCACAGGCCAGAGCAGGCTACGGAGCATCTGGGAGCTGAAGAAAGAGAACTTCAGTGATACTTAAGTAAGGGTTAAGAGATGCACTCCAATTGCATTCTGAAGACAGATCCCAACAAGACCAATGACATCAGCTAGATTTTTTTCAGCCCAAAGTAATATACCTGCAAATTATCAGAACTTGTTCACTACTCCGTACTTGGCTCTAATATGATTAGTAAGGGGGCAGTGTCAGAATCCTTGAGAAAATAATAACCAGAACATCTTAGAATTTATTGTGCCCAAGGAAGGAGCCCTGTCAATAGACAAATGTTTATTTGAGATGTCAAAAAGATAATTTTAAAACTTTAGGAAAACAGCAGGCATTATCCCATGGCAATATGTTTTATGTCCAAATTTCAACTCTATTATTTCAAGCTATGTGTGTGACTTTAGAGGCAGCTTTGACTTCAATTTTTTAACTTAAAAAGATAAGAGTATTTAGAACACAATGGGAAATGTTACATAATACTACCTTGTAGACCTCCGAGCAACCACTATACAAAGAGACACTGTTGTTATGATTGAGGACAACATCGTTCATCAAATGTGAAAAGCTACCCAAATGAAATCCAGAAAAAACATGTTCCACTGAAGAAGAGAGAAATGGGCAAAGTAACCAAGGAAAGAATATTTACAGTGAGGCTGGGCACAGTGGCCAAGATGGGCGGATCACAAGGTCAGGAGTTTGAGACGAGCCTGGCCAACATGGTGAAACTTCATCTCTAGTAAAAATACAAAAATTAGCTGGGCATGGTAGCGGGAACTTGCAATCCCAGCTACTCGGGAGGCTGAGGCAGGAGAATCACTGGAACCCAGGAGGCGGAGGTTGCAGTGAGCCAAGATTGTGCCACTGCTCTCCAGCCTAGGTGACAGAGCAAGACTCCATACCGGAAAAAAAAAAAGGAATACTTACAATGAAAAGGAACATTAAAAGGAGGCAATATAAAGCAAAGTAAGTTAAAGCCCAGAACAAATTAAGACTTTCAAACATTGCTAAATGCAATCAAAGAGATATTTGTATACTCATAAGAAAAACCAGAAGAAGCTGCACTCTTTTGACAAAGCTCATAAGGCTAAGAAAATAGACAGGTCCGGATCCAAGATGGTCGAATAGGAACAGCTCCAGTCTACAGCTCCCAGCATGGATGATGCAGAAGACAGGTGATTTCTGAATTTCCGACTGAGCTTTGGTGACAGTAGTGGTTCTCCCAGCATGGAGTTTGAGATCTGAGAATGGAAAGACTGCCTCCTTAAGTGGGTCCCTGACCCCTGAGTAGCCTAACTGGGAGACACCTCCCAGTAGGGGCTGACTGACACCGCATACAGCCAGGTGCCCCTCTGAGACGAAGCTTCCAGAGGAAGAATCAGACAGTAACATTTGCCATTCTGCAATATTTGCTGTTCTGCAGCCTCCGCTGGTGATGCCCAGGCAAACAGGGTCTGGACTGGACCTCCAGCAAACTCCAACAGACCTACAGCTGAGGGTCCTGACTCTTAGAAGGAAAACTAACAAACAGAAAGGACAACCACACAAAACCCCATCTGTACGTCACCACCATCAAAGACCAAAGGTACATAAAACCACAAAGATGGGGAGAAACCAGAGCAGAAAAGCTGAAAATTCTAAAAATCAGAGCACCTCTTCTCCTCCAAAGGAACGCAACTCCTCGCCAGCAACGGAACAAAGCTGGATGGAGAATGACTTTGACGAGTTGAGAGAAGAAGGTTTCAGATGATCGGTAATAACAAACTTCTCCGAGCTAAAGGAGGATGTTCGAACCCGTCGCAAAGAAGCTAAAAACCTTGAAAAAGGATTAGACGAATGGCTAACTAGAATAAACAGCGTAGAGAAGACCTTAAATGACCTGATGGAGCTGAAAACCACGAGAACTACATGACACATGCACAAGCTTCAGTAGCCAATTCGATCAACTGGAAGAAAGGGTATCAGTGATTGAAGATCAAATGAATGAAATGAAGCGAGAAAAGAAGTTTAGGGAAAAAAGAGTAAAAAGAAACGAACAAAGCCTCCAAGAAATATGTGACTGTGAAAAGACCAAATCTACGTCTGATTGGTGTAACTGAAAGTGACAGGGAGAAAGGAACCAAGTTGGAAAACACTCTGCAGGATATTATCCAGGAGAACTTCCCCAACCTAGCAAGGCAGGCCAACATTCAAATTCAGGCAATACAGAGAATGCCACAAAGATACTCCTCGAGAAGACCAACTCCAAGACACATAATTGTCAGATTCCCCAAAGTTGAAATGAAGGAAAAAATGTTAAGGGCAGCCAGAGAGAAAGGTCGGGTTACTCACAAAGGGAAGCCCATCAGACTAACAGTGGATCTCTCGGCAGAAACTCTACAAGCCAGAAGAGAGTGGGGGCCAATATTCAACATTCTGAAAGAAAAGAATTTTCAACCCAGAATTTCACATCCAGCCAAACTAAGCTTCATAACTGAAGGAGAAATAAAATCCTTTACAGACAAGCAAATGCTGAGAGATTTTGTCACCACCAGGCCTGCCTTACAAGAGCTCCTGAAGGAAGCACTAAACATGGAAAGGAACAACCAGTACCAGCCACCGCAAAAACATGCCAAATTGTAAAGACTATCAAGGCTAGGAAGAAACTGCATCAACTAATGAGCAAAATAACCAGCTAACATCATAATGACAGGATCAAATTCACACATAACAATATTAACCTTAAATGTAAATAGGCTAAATCCTCCAATTAAAAGACACAGAGTGGCAAATTGGATAAAAAGTCAAGACCCATCAGTGTGCTGTATTCAGCAGACCCCGCTCACGTGCAGAGACACACATAGGCTCAAAATAAAGGTATGGAGGAAGGTCTGCCAAGCAAAGGGAAAACAAAAAAAAAGCAGGGGCTGGAATCCTAGTCTCTGATAAAACAGACTTTAAACCAACAAAGATCAAAAGAGACAAAGAAGGCCATTACATAATGGTAAAGGGATCAATTCAACAAGAAGAGTTAAATATCCTAAATATATACGCACCCAGTACAGGAGCACCCAGACTCATAAAGCAAGTCCTTAGAGACGTACAAACAGACTTAGACTTCCACACAATAATAATGGGAGACTTTAACACACCACTGTCAACAACAGACAGATCAACGAGACAGAAAGTTAAAAAGGATATCCAGGAATTGAACTCAGCTCTGCACCAAGCAGACCTAATAGACATCTACAGAACTCTCCACCCCAAATCAACAGAATATATATTCTTCTTAGCACCACATCACACTTACTCCAAAATTGACCACATAGTTGGAAGTAAAGCACTCCTCGGCAAATGTAAAAGAACAGAAATTATAACAAACTGTCTCTCAGACCACAGTGCAATCAAACTAGAACTCAGGATTAAGAAACTCACTCAAAACCACTCGACTACATGGAAACTGAACAACCTGCTCCTGAATGACTACTGGGTACACTGAGAAATGAAGGCAGAAATAAAGATGTTCTTTGAAACCAACGAGAACAAACACACAACATACCAGAATCTCTGGGACACATTTAAAGCAGTGTGTAGAGGGAAATTTATAGCACTAAATGCCCACAAGAGAAAGCAGGAAAGATCTAAAATTGACACCCTAACATCACAATTAAAAGAACCAGAGAAGCAAGAGCAAACGCATTCAAAAGCTAGCAGAAGGCAAGAAATAACTAAGATCAGAGCAGAACTGAAGGAAATAGAGACACAAAAAAACCCTTCAAAAAATCAATGAATCCAAGAGCTGGTTTTTTTGAAAAGATCATCAAAATTGATAGACCGCTAGCAAGACTAATAAAGAAGAAAAGAGAGAAGAATCAAATAGACATAATAAAAAATGACAAAGGGGATATCACCACCAATCCCACAGAAATACAAACTACCATCAGAGAATACTATAAACACCTCTACGCAAATAAACTAGAAAATCTAGAAGAAATGGATAAATTCCTCAACACATACATCCTCCCAAGACTAAACCAGGAAGAAGATGAATCTCTGAATAGACCAATAACAGGCTCTGAAATTGAGGTAATAAGTAATAGCTTACCAACCAAAAAAAGTCCAGGACCAGATGGATTCACAAGCCCAATTCTACCAGAGGTACAAGGAGGAACTGGTACCATTCCTTCTGAAACTATTCCAATCAACAGAAAAAGAGGGAATCCTCCCTAACTCATTTTATGAGGCCAGCATCATCCTGATACCAAAGCCTGGCAGAGACAAAACCAAAAAAGAGAATTTTAGACCAATATCCTTGATGAACATTGATGCAAAAATCCTCAATAAAATACTGGCAAACCGAATGCAGCAACACATCAAAAAGCTTATCCACCATGATCAAGTGGGCTTCAGCCCTGGGACGCAAGGCTGGTTCAACATACGAAAATCAATAAACGTAATCCAGCATATACACAGAACCAAAGACAAAAACCTCATGATTATCTCAATAGATGCAGAAAAGGCCTTTGACAAAATTCAAAGACGCTTCATGCTAAAAACTCTCAACAAATTAGGTATTGATGGCACCTATCTCAAAATAATAAGAGCTATCTATGACAAACCCACAGCCAATATCATACTGAATGGACAAAAACTGGAAGCATTCGCTTTGAAAACTGGCACAAGACAGGATGCCCTCTCTCACCACTCCTATTCAACATAGTGTTGGAAGTTCTGGCCAGGGCAATCAGGCAGGAGAAGGAAATAAAGGGCATTCAATTAGGAAAAGAGGAAGTCAAATTGTCCCTGTTTGCAGATGACATGATTGTATATCTAGAAAACCCCATCGTCTCAGCCCAAAATCTCCTTAACCTGATAAGCAACTTCAGCAAAATCTCAAATTCAAGATTTTGTATCTTGATTTGATACAAAATCAATGTGCAAAAATCACAAGCATTCTTATACACCAATAGCAGACAAACAGAGAGCCAAATCATGAGTGAACTCCCATTCACAATTGCTTCAAAGAGGATAAAATACCTAGGAATCCAACTTACAAGGGATGTGAAGGACCTCTTCAAGGAGAACTACAAACCACTGCTCAAGGAAATAAAAGAGGATACAAACAAACGAAAGAACATTCCATGCTCATGGGTAGGAAGAATCAGTATCATGAAAATGGCCATACTGCCCAAGGTAATTTATAGATTCAATGCCATCCCCATCAAGCTACCAATGACTTTATTCACAGAATTGGAAAAAACTACTTTAAAGTTCATTTGGAACCAAAAAAGAGCCTGCATTGCCAAGTCAATCCTAAGCCAAAAGAACAAACCTGGAGGCATCACACTACCTGACTTCAAACTATACTACAAGGCTACAGTAACCAAAACAGCATGGTACTGGTACCAAAACAGAGATATAGAACAACAGAACAGAACAGAGCCCTCAGAAATAATGCCGCATATCTACAACTATCTGATCTTTGAGAAACCTGACAAAAATAAGCAATGGGGAAAGGATTCCCTATTTAATAAACGGTGCTGGGAAAACTGGCTAGCCATAAGTAGAAAGCTGAAACTGGATCCCTTCCTTACACCTTATACAAAAATTAATTCAAGATGGATTAAAGACTTAAATGTTAGACCTAAAACCATAAAAACCCTAGAAGAAAACCTAGGCAATACCATTCAGGACACAGTCATGGGCAAGGACTTCATGTCTAAAACACCAAAAGCAATGGCAACTAAAGCCAAAATTGACAAATGGGATCTAATTAAACTAAAGAGCTTCTACAGAGCAAAAGAAACTACAATCAGAGTGAACAGGCAACCTACAGAATGGGAGGAAATTTTTGCAACCTACTCATCTGACAAAGGGCTAATATCCAGAATCTACAATGAACTCAAACAAATTTACAAGAAAAAAACCAACAATCCCATCAAAAAGTGGGCAAAGGATATGAACAGACACTTCTCAAAAGAAGACATCCATGCAGCCAAAAAACACATGAAAAAATGCTCATCACCACTGGCAATCAAATGCAAATCAAAAACCACAATGAGATACCATCTCACACCAGTTAGAATGACAATCATTAAAAAGTCAGGAAACAACAGGTGCTGGAGAGGATGTGGAGAAATAGGAACACTTTTACACTGTTGGTGGGACTGTAAACTAGTACAACCATTGTGGAAGTCGGTGTGGCAATTCCTCAGGGATCTAGAACTAGAAATACCATTTGACCCAGCCATCCCATTACTGGGTATATACCCAAAGGATTATAAATCATGCTGCTATAAAGACACATGCACACGTATGTTTATTGCGGCACTATTCACAATAGCAAGACTTGGAACCAACCCAAATGTCAATCAATGATAGACTGGATTAAGAAAATGTGGCACATATACACCATGGAATACTATGCAGCCATAAAAAATGATGAGTTCATGTCCTTTGTAGGGACATGGATGAAGCTGGAAACCATCATTCTCAGCAAACTATCGCAAGGACAAAAAACCAAACACCACATGTTCTCACTCATAGGTGGGAACTGAACAATGAGAACACATGGACACAGGAAGGGGAACATTACACAACGGGGACTGTCGTGGGGTGGGGGTACGGGGGAGGGATAGCATTAGGAGATATACCTAATGCTAAATGACTAGTTAATGGGTGCAGCACACCAACATGGCACATGTATACATATGTAACAAACCTGCACATTGTGCACATGTACCCTATAACTTAAAGTATAATAATAATAAAATAATAAAAAATTAAAAAGTTCAGTGTTCGAGTTCTCTGTCTCTTGGCCTCTGTGATGCCTGCAGAAACCCAGTCGCAACCCATTCATTCATATTCCTCTCCTTAGAGCCAGGAGTTAGCGCCCCAAGGGCAGTGCTGAATCCCTGGACAGGACTCGGGATAAATGCATTCCCCCTGCTGTCTCTCAGAGGCACAGCTGTGAAACACATTCTCCCGGCTTCCTGAGAGCTTCCCAGGGAGTTCATGCCCCAGTTGCTCACAGAAGTGACCAGCTCAATGACACCCCCTTTTGGTGGATTTTTCTTCTCTATTCCATTCTTCCCTCTTTTATGAGCTCACTTTCTAAAAGAGGCTACCTGCACAAACGCCCATCACAGGCTCAGCTGTCTAAGAAAACTCTGGCTGGGAGAGTGGACTTTCCAGAATGGAATGTGGGCAGTATTCTAAAATACTAAATAAAATGCAACAGGAAAATCAAAGGGATGAACGTCACATGGCATAAAGAAGGAGGTAGAGGACATCTGCCTAGCCTTCCAAGAACAAAACAAATTGACAATCAACCCTGGCCACCCAGGAGATGAGCTTTGTCACAGCAATTCTTCCTCATATCCCAGAAAAGAGAAGAAGAAATGAGGACAGTAGAATCAACTGTGACATCCAAAAAAGGCTGCCCAATCTCTTCTCTAGAATGTGTCAACTGTGATTTATGAAATAACATATGCTATTTTTATATTGCAATGTTTGCTTATCTATAGGTAAGAGCTCACCATTTCTTATATCATGTTATAATTATATTCATGAAGAAGATGACCATTGCACAGACAAGTACACTGTGAAGAACCGTGAGGAGAGATTTTACCCTACTTGCAAGCTAACAAATGAGTCTGCCAGTTTGTTTCATCGTTGCGGCAGAAGACTCCTGGGTCAAAGCAAAGGACTGTATTACTTACAGCATAGCAAACAATATGAGCATCAGCATATTTGCATCAATTTCCTTGCCTCCAAGTCCTCTGGGGGAATATGGATGGGCACAGATGGATGTGTGCACACGCAGTGGGTTACATGACAAGTGAGGAGCCCTGAGCTTAGGGAATTCAAAGTTTTCTACGGGCAGCAGGCATTGCTTACCCTTTGGCAACACTGCTGAAATAAATCTCTTATAGTTCAAGATGTATTGATAAGCATGTTAAGCTTATTTTTATACATGAAGAACAACAAATTGTTATTTTCTATGGTTATTCACAGTATCTCAAAATCTATGTGATATTTTACTAGCTTAGTTTTATTATAATTTTAAAAGACCATTTGGGTTCCTTTGTTAGTGGACAAGAATAAAAAGAGATAAATTAGTTACTTTCTTAAAGCTAAGCAACATCATTTTCTATTGAGGAACCCAAAACTTTCCTAACTTTTACAAATGTTTGTAAATTGTAGGTTCTGTGACAGCCAGTGCTATAAAATTTCATAAGCTTATAAGAGCTTTCTTAACACAGCTGTGGACTTTTCTCCTGGTGTTGTACAGCAGTTCAAATTAGCTCAAGAATCATAAACCCTATATTTGAACAGCTAT
Source organism: Homo sapiens (assembly GCF_000001405.40). Taxonomy (NCBI): domain Eukaryota; kingdom Metazoa; phylum Chordata; class Mammalia; order Primates; family Hominidae; genus Homo; species Homo sapiens. The sequence goes on along the minus strand of NW_025791789.1, from coordinate 55,539 downwards.
ATAATATTATATATTTATTTTCCCATTTGATGTTGCATTACTTTTTCTACCAATCTTCTTACAATAAATTCATAAATATCTTAATTATAGCAAATGTGAAGTTCTTAAAGATGAGAATCATCAAACATATTTCTATTACAGAGATATATTCTTCAAAAAGTCATCTAAAATAGAAACCCAACTGGGAGACACCTTAAAAGGTTATCTGCCACAACAGAAGCTTTGCTTAAAATACTGTTCTCTTTGTATTTGTGTTAATAATTGATTTGTCTTTGAAATTAAATTAGGAATCTACTATATCTAGTGGTCTTGAAATCAAAGCCCCCTCCCCATTCCTTATCTTCACTGCTGTGTTCAAAAAGACTAGACTCCAGGGACGTGTCCAAAGCTGGGTTAAATATAGGATGCCTGAGAGACACCCTTCTTTCATAGTTCGAGGGTAAGCATGTAGCTGTATGTGTGTGGAGGGGCGGGTGGAGGAGGTTAGCTGTATCAGGGTAGGCATAATACTATATTTTAAATCCCTCCTTCTGTTATAAATGTAAGCTGAAAATAGTCTCTGCTCCCAGCGGCAGCAATCGTAAACTCGCTTAGTTCTGCCTGTAATTTAATTTAATTTAACATGTGACATTGAGACAATGTTTCTTTTAATTCACATATAACTTCTTCCTCACCCACATTCCAGCCAAATAAACACATACTTATAGAAAAATGTGACTGTTTTCCTGGGCATCCCAACAATTCAACTGTCCCTAAAACACCAGGTTCAATTTAAACTCTATTAGCTTGTCTGAGGGCTAAGATATCTAAAAATCCAAGACAAATTATCATTTGCGTATATGGAGGCAGCTCTGATTGAACAGATATCTAAAACGGTTAGGTAATATTTTAGATCAAATCACTCCATCAAGTCAAAGACTAATTCAACTGTTTGTTCAGTTTCCAAAGGAATCCTTCCATTTTGGTCTAGTGTTCCATAAACATTGACTTTACATGAAAAGGACAGTGAAGAGATCTCTTGAACCGGCCAGAAAGTTGAAGCTCAAGGTTGTAGAAGATTTGAGCTACCAAGTCCAAGCCTTCTAAAAGATTCCCAATATGTATATATATCATTTTCCTAACTCTACATTTGCCTGAGAAACAATGACATTCAATAAACTTTTTTCCATGGGATTTAGTTACAAAATAAGTCAAGGAACTACAAGTTATATATTTCCTGGAAAAATATACTATTATATATATATATTATATATTCAAAACTCCGTAAAGCATATAAAGTATAAGCATATACTGAGTTATAAGGCATAACTCAACATGTTATTTTAACCTAAAATTTTCTTAGGGCCTCAATTGCAAATGCTTTAATTGCCAATGGTTCATAAACACATCTGTGAATTAGAAGCAAGTAATATCCTCTGTTTTTATACTCTCAAAAAATGTGATTATACTTAATCAAAAGTAATTCAAACCACAGCCCAGGCAATACATACTAGACCATGTCTTCTTGGTAATTTAATTCTTAGCAATAATTTTAATTGCTGCCTTATTAAGTAGGTATGCTACTTAAATTACAATCCTGTAGTTATAAGGTTAAAACTATTTTAAAATCTCAAATGTTTTTAGATTTCAATCACTCTTCGTATTATTACAACAAAAATGTTCATTAACTGGAACACATGCAGTATCATTTTTTAGCCCCCACTTTATGATATTTTTTAATTTTTATTACCAGAGTAGTCATTTCATTATAAAATTTTAACCAAGCTAAGCATATACTCCATTTTTTAGAAAACTAGATTTACTGTAGTCCTGTTAAGGCTATCATAGTAAGCAATGAATTTCACACTTGTCTTTTATACAGTACAACACATCAAGCAGATATATGAAATCCTTGACAAAAGACATTTAAAACAAACAATTCCATGCTTTATATGTCAAGTGAAAAGGAATATTTTTTCTACAGTGACAGAGCAGACTTGACATGTGCACAATCATGTACAACCAAGCGTTTGCAAATGCTCTTACAACGTGGAGCAACCGGGCCTAGGGACAAGCAACCTTTCAGCTAAGAGTCTCGTCAAAGGTGCGGAAGCCCATTACAGAAGACCAGATAACAGTCAGTCTGACGGGTTCATTCAGATATTCAAGCTTTAAAAAGTACTTTGAAGACTGATACAGATGTCCTAGGCAATAAACTTCCCGAAAAGAATGGGGAACAATCCCAGTGCCAATCACATCTTTGTCATTCAGAAATCCAGGCTAATTTGATTTAGAGACATACATAAATGAACTGTTATTTCTCATAACTGTTTTTTTTCAGCCTCTTTATTTTTAATCTACATCTCTTAGGTAAAATGCATCAATTTAACTACATTTACTTATTCTGAGTTTTTCTATTGGTCCATGTTTCCTTTAAACACAATTTTGAATGGTTTTTTAAAGTAACCATTTGATTTTGAAACCAATTTACAGAAAACATGGAAGAACTACGCTAATATGCTGTATCACCCCTGAATACTTCAATGTACATTTCCTACAACAAAGATGTTCTCCTATATAACCATAATATGATCATCCCAGTCATCATGGATAAAGTTCCAATATTTAATCCCCAATCTTGTTCAAGTTGCACCAATTCCCAATCATGTCCTTTATAACATAAGCATTTAATGCAGAGTAGTATTTAGTTGCCTTGTTTTCTTAGCCTCCGTCAATCTGGAATGCCTCCTTCCTCACTCCACTCAACCTCTGACAACTTGCTATAGGTCACCACCAGTGCTGTCTCCTGTCTCTCCAGGTCCCCACCCTTGCTACACTGTGGATGCTTTCCTTACCCTGCTGGTTTCTGAATGCTCTGCCACGGTCCTGGGCCTCCCCACTTACCCAGCATGGATGCCTAAGCTGAACTGAATGACCTTGGACTGAATTGTTCAAAAAGAGAAGGGGAGAGGAAGAGGAAGAAGAACGCCAAGTAATTTGATTTTTCTTTTTTCATGATCAAACCAATGTCTTGGAATTGATTATCACTTCCATGGGCTACTTATGCTCCGTACTGTTTGTATAGAGTTTGGTGAAAATGAATAAAGGCAACTGAACTACATTTTTTGGTTTTTTTTTTGAGACAGAGTCTCACTCTGTCACCCAGGCTGGAGTGCAGTGGCACGATCTCAGCTCACTGCCTCCTCACAGGCACCTGCCACCATGCCCTGAAATTTTTTCATATTTTTAGTAGAGACGGGGTTTCACCGTGTTGTCCAGCCTGGTTTCGAACTCCCGACCTCAACTGATCCACCCACCTCAGCCTCCCAAAGTGCTGGGATTACAGGTGTGAGCCACCGCGCCTGGCCTGAACTCCATTTTTTATAGAGTACCATTTGACACTAAAATTAAGAGTCTGTTACTCATCTGCAGAATCTCTCTTTAAATGGTATTACTAAAAGGTCCAAAATGAAACATCTGTAAAAATAATTATTCCTACACTCTGTGAGATCTCTTTCCTGACACATTTCACATCTAAGTGAGTTCCCTAACTAACCCACACACACTCTATAGTAGGCTTACCCTTCTTTCCCCAGGCTGGCTGGCGAACTTGCAAAACATAACCATTTAGGGGAAAAAATTGAGGCAATTAAAATTAAAAGTGTTTTAGGCTAAGTAATGAATAAATTAACCCACTGAAAAGTTACATCAAAGGCTATTACTCAGCATTTTACCAGTTACAGGAATTTCTGCAAAATCTGCCCAGCCATTTGTTTGTGTATCCCTGGGATCAGTGCCCAGCGTTCAATCTTTCTCTTGATGCTTCCTGCTGTTTTCAGGGACTCAATGAGAGCAGTAAGTGACCTTTCACTCACTGCAAGTCTATGGGCACTGAAGTTAGGAAAATATTTCCCTTCATGCAGAATCTTCCTAACAAAGCTTTCCCATGTATTTGTCGGGTCAAATAACATTCAGATAAACTGCACATAATCCCCAAAATGCCAAATGTTTAGAGAGCTTTTTTTTTTTGAGACAGAGTTTTGTGTTTTCCTCTTGTTGCCCAGGCTGGAGTGCTATGGTGGGATCTCGGCTCACTGCAACCTCCATCTCCCAGGTTCAAGCGATTCTCCTGCCTCAGCCTCCCGAGAAGCTGGGATTACAGATGCCTGCCACCACGCCCGGCTAATTTTTGTATTTTTAGTAGAGACAGGGTTTCACCATGGTGGCCAAGCTGGTCTCGAACTCCTGACCTCAGGTGATCCACCCACCTCGGCCTCCCAAAGTGCTGGGATTACAGACGCGAGCCACTGTGCCCGGCCTATAGAGCTCTTCCCATGAAGAGCCATTTCATGCCATCATCAACAGGCTGCCTTCGTGGGTGGCCAATGTGCTTCTGGAAAACCAGCTGTGAATAACGTGAGCAACTCATGGTGTCTTCATGAGAAGGAAACTTTTAGATGTCCTTATTGACTTTCTTCTTGGTATTGAAGGTGGTATAATTATTACAGTTACATAGTTTTATCTGGAAGAATTACTTGATCTAAAAGGTAATTTAAAATTAGTAAAATTTATTAGATATGAGGATACTAAGTTTCATCAACGAAAGAAGACTGAAAACACCCACAGTAGTAGTATTGAAATTTTACGTGTCACTCAGCAACTCGCGAGAGTCCCGTCTGGTGCTGAGTCCATTTGGAATATCTGTCCCTGCCCTCCCCTCCTCCAAAAAGAATGTTCACTATAAACGAGAAGAGCTTAATTTCTATGGGCTTTGTAATCCTTCCACTGGATTCCAAGCAAAATAACTACCAATACAACTAATCCTGAGAATAAAAAGTAATCACAACTATGCAACAAAAACAGGAAAGGTGGTGGCAGGGTCTCACTCAGATTTCATTGCTTTGCTTTTCTCCAGGAAGGTCTTTTTGAAGCCCTGTTTATTCAATAGTAAGAGTGACCTCTAGTGACTTTTTTTGTTGTTGTATTTTGCCAGTTGATTGGTCAATTACTCTAGCATGCCTTTCTATAAGTAACTCATTTATATGTTTATTTAAGCCAAACGGCAATTTCCATTACAAGACCCAAGGATTTTGATTTAAGTAACAACGTTTTATTCACAAAGCCTTCTCACAAAAGCAGATTAAAGTTGAATCTGAAACACGGTACAGCATCTGACCAAAGGAATCCGGAGCTTGTTTTTTGGAAGGGCACACCAAGTGTAGGATTAACTGAGGCGCAACTGAATCATGATGCACAGTGAGTTCATGAACCCATGTGCGTGCCCTGTGTGTGAAGAACCAACCCACCCTTGAGCCCGCGGGCAGAACAGCACTGAGCTACGGCAAACTTTTCATGACAGCTTAGGAGAACTGCTGAAAGCTACCCTTGGTTATCCTGCAATAATCTAAATTTCCAAACATGGCCACTGGCGTTTATTGGAACTTATTTCGAAAGAGATTTTGGTAGGAGAGGGCTGAGGCTGACAGCGGGGAGATGCCACTGAAAGAAAAATAAAAGTGATTTGAGAAGGAAGAGGAAGACATTTTAAAAATTCTAATCTCATGGTTTGATTAATCAAGAAAGAAAGACAACTCTCTGATAGAGATTTACTCCAAGCCAAAAAAAAATGTGCAATGTTGTGCAAACATTTTTATGTGTGATAAAATATGGGTACATTATGTTTTGCTCATCTGTCTGGAATATCATCATTACATTAGAATCATAGCCCATTCTAGAAATAAAGGCTTCCTAGGTGTTTACCAAATTAAGGAAAATAAAAAACAGGGAACCTGATGGCAAATTAAATAATGTAAAATATTAGCATCCAGAGAGGAATCATTTTCAAGATCACCTAAATGACTGGCTGAGTTTTGTCTTTAAGCAAGAACTTTCTACTATGAGAAACGAAGCCCCTGACAGGGGTGTTCAAGTGTTATTCCCTTAGTAGTTAGGACAGGTTATTAATTTAGTTTCACCTACAGGCGCTCTGTCCCTATACTGCATGGAAGTTAATTAGCATTTTAACTCTGAAGCTGCCAAGGTCGGCAAAACTGTAAGCTGCTAACATCTAAGTTGATGCAGTATGATGTAATGTCTGCCAGTTTTTTCCCTGTTAGACTTAATTCCTACAAAATATTACAATCCTAAAAAGGAATAAATGACAGCATTTGCAGGCTAATCTCTTATTAAGATGCTTTTCAGGTTTTACAGAAACGTCCACTTTCTCAATGAATATTCAAGTACATCGATTAAAAAGTCAAAACATGCATGGTATATCTTAGACTCCCCCACAAGAGGAAAGTCTATTGTAAACAAAATCGTCTTTTTCGGGTTGCAATTCCAAATTTTTTTTAAGGTTCTTCATGTTCAGGAGCATGTTCTGCAATTCCACTTCCAAATATTACCGATAATAAAAAAAAAAACAAAGTTTTCCAGACAGCCTAGCGCAAGTTTTAAACCATTTGCTGTACTTACGTGGATTTCCTGCTCCCACGGGGCTCCAAGTCTGAGTGGGGAGAAGCAGCAGCACCTTGAGGACGGCCCAGGCCACTGAAGCCATGCTCACTTCAGCCAGGCGCCCTGAGACCCGGGCACGGCGACGGCCGCTCTGCGTCGCTCCTGCTCTCACTCCCGTCCCCTGCGCGGCTCTGACGCTGCTCTGTCTCCCGTGTCCAGTCTCTAGCTCTCTTCCTCACGCACTAGCAGCCTCCCTCGGCGCTGCAGACCCTCCCGCCAAGCCGCGCCCGGCCCCAGCTGCGTCTCCGAGGTCGGCCCCGCGGACTCGCGCCGCAGCTTTCTGGAGCGCTCGGGGCCGCGCGGCGCCACCCCAGGCACGGAGGCGGCAGGTTCAGGCGCGTCCCGGACACTAGGCGCGGGAGGCGGCCGGCAGCAACGCGAGTCAAGAAGCGAGCGGGAGGGACGCCCCAGCTCCGCCTGGCGCTCTCCTCCCGTTATACCTGCAGCTTCCTCCGTCCCTCTCTCCCACCGGGGCGGGGCGGCCGCGGTGCACGGACTCGCGCCAAAGACCGCGCCGTCAGCCTCCGCCTGCAGGTGGAGAACGCCAGGCTTTATCACTGCGCTGTTCACCCAACGCAGGGGCTGCACCCAGGAAAATGCTGTCCTGTTTGAGTTCAAATAGGGAAGATGGGGCAGAAATAACTCTGCGGCGTGTACTCGGGCAGACGCGCGCACACTTTGATTTTGCTAGGAATTCTGACTTGTAGAGAACCAAGCTGGGAAACCGGGCCAGGAGCAGGGAGAGGCCGGTGAGCCTGGGTTGTGCGAGTGCAAGCCTTTATTTAAAGTTTTAATATTTTGTCTATCATGGGTTTTTTTTTTCTTTGCGATTACATTCAATTTTAAAACTATTTCATTCATTCAGGATTAGCGTTACTTAACAGTTGCTCCTGAGACTAGTGCGTTAGTCCCTTCACCCTAGTCCTGGCCTTGGTGGAAGTCTAAAATTTACGTTTTATTCCAGCTTTCTGTCCAAAAGAGCAACCCCTGCAAGTGTAGGATGAGGAGCTCAGTCCAGCAGCAGCTAACACTGCACTCCTTGCGTGCCTACTGTGTGCTAGAGGGAGGGGCGGAGGCAGGGGGCGGGGGGGGTCTTTCTCTTTTTCTCTTCCTCTGCTTCTCAAATTCACAGTAGGGGCAAAGATTGACAAACTCACTCACATTACCACCACCGCGAGTTTCCAAAAAAGAAAAAAGAAAGAAAGATACTTTTTTAGATGGTATCTCTAAGAAATAGTGTATTAATCTTCCCTTTGGAAAGACAACTTTGAAAGGCTTTTTCATTAAAATGAATTCAAATGTAATAGATGTAAAATGTAAAATGAATTCAAATGTAATAGATGAAGAATCTTACAAAGTCATTCTTGAATTATTAATTGGGTTCACTTAAACTACTTTTGCACAAGAACTCTGTAAATAGCACGTCTTTTATTACAGAAAAAATTATAAATCTAAAGTTTTGATTGACAGATCAGTTGCCTTCAGTGAGACAGAAAGAGAGAAAATGGAAATCATTTTCTAAATTGGACCTAGAGTAAAACAACAAATGTCAATCTATTATTATACCAATTTGTCAGGCATCAGATGGAGTCTTTAAAAATGTGAACTTGGCCGGGTGCAGTGGCTCATGCCTGTAATCTCAGCACTTTGGGAGGCGGAGGAGGCCAAGAGGTCAGGAGATGGAGCCCATCCTGGCCAACACGGTGAAACCCTGTCTCTATTAAAATACAAAAAATTAACCGGGCGTGGTGGTGCCTGCCTGTAGTCCCAGCTACTCGGGAGGCTGAGGCAGGAGAATTGCTTGAACCCGGGAGGCAGAGGTTGCAGCAAGCCAACATTGCACCCTGCACTCCAGCTTGGCGACAGAGCCAGACTCCGTCTCAAGACAAAAAAAAAAAAAAGTGAACTTGGGTGTTCAAAGTGTTAGGCTTAATGGAGAAAGGCCAAGAAACTTCTACGGTGGTAGACATTTGCAATTAAAACAAAATGGCTTCATTAAACTGTAAAATCACTAGCGTAGTGAGGGTGCATGCATTTTTTACAACATTGGAGGAATATATTTATGAATATTATTCCCAATACATAAAATATACATTTTACACACTTATAGGTACACTCAAAATTTGTTCCAAATTGTTCATGTCTAGTAAATGTATATACACTATTTTATATGGTTAAGCCAATAAGCATCAGCATTTTCTTCTAAGACAGGAGGCTTGTAATTGTTTTGATTCCCCTGCTTTTGACTTAAAACTTATTTAGGTTTATTCTACTTAAGTTGTTTGGTTAGGGGACTTGAAGTCCTTAAACATAAATGTGTGTCTTGAAATGCATTTTATGTGGCTATACTTGCTGCTATATGGTTATTATTTAAATCAGCATAGACACTTGCTGTGGTGATAATGCTGGCAATGAACTTTGCAGACTAAGAGTAGTGAGGCTCTAAAAATTACTTTGCCTAGTAGAGAAGCATCCGTCACAATCATCACACACTACACACTTACTGAACAAATGAAGACATGAATTCGAGATGGCCGATGTAACTAGAACACTGGATGTCCCAGAAAAAATATCGAATATCACAAATATAAATGTTTTATGTGTTGCTGCTTTATTTCCTTTCTTCCCTACTTTCCATGATAATGCAATTTAAACTTTGAAACTTCTTACCTTCTATTTAACCTTAACATGGATAATAAATACAATTATATTTTTTATTTCAATCTGGATAATGGTTGTATGATTCAACCAGAATAAGAAAGGAATAAGATCTACTTTGCAATAGCACATATTTAGGAAGTGAGTATATTTATATTGGAACAAATGATGATACTGAGGTGTGTTTGATGACTAGCTTCTGGATTATAAGAATGTAAATGTTTGTTAAGACAGACTCTTTTGAAATTTGTTCTTGAATATTTTGAATTACAAAAGGAACATTTTTAAAAGAATTGTATAAAGAAAATGTTAATAATTGCCACTACCATCACCCCAACCCCACTGAGGTAACCAATGATACAAAACAGGCTGACAGGCTGGTATGTATCCTTATGTATCCTTGTTTTGGCTCTTCTTCTTCTTTTTTTTTTTGAGACAGAGTCTCGCTCTGTCGCCTAGACTGGAGTGCAGTAGTGGTGTGATCTTCGCTCACTGCAACCTCTGCCTCCCAGGTTCAAGCAATTCTTGTGCCTCAGCCTCCTGAGAAGCTGGGAGAACAAGTGAGTGCCACCACACCCGGCTAAGTTTTTGTATTTTTGGTAGGGACAAGGTTTTTCCATGTTGCCCAGGCTGGTCTCGAACTTCCTGAGCTCAAGTGATCCACCCGCCTTGGCCTCCCAAAGTCTTGAGATTACAGGCGTGAGCCATCACACCCGGCCTTGGCTCTTATATATAAACACATACAACCTGTACATAGAGTTGTGCTTATTTTGTTTCAATAAGGTTTTACCTTGTACTTTATACTCTCATCCTGCAATTTTATCGTCTCTCTTTGTAGTATACCGTGTGCATTGCAGTCTAAGCTAGAACTTAGTTTTCAGTTCTAGAAAATAGAGTGAGAATACAAAAATATAACATTTGCCTGCCAATCTAATAGCATTTTAATTCCTAAATAGATCTACTTTCACAAATATGCTACTTCTCAAAGAATTATTTTTCTTATGATATTTTTCTAAGCAATGCAATGTGATATTAGTCAGATTTTTAAAATGCACTACTGCATTAGTCAAGGCCCAGAAAGAAAGCATGATTTGCTCAGATAGTTTAAAGGGACAGGCTGAAAAGAAAAGTGAAGGGACCCACCAGGTGACATTGTGGCAACCAAAGACAAGCACTAGCAGAAAGCCTTTACTACCTACAGCAGAGGCGCAGAGGGAGGAACGGTTGCTGCCAGATCCCCAGAAGGCAGCAGCCGGGGAACACAAAGGTCTGGCAGGAGCCACAGTCATAGAAGTAAAAGAATTTTCTTGTCAGAACCTGGAAACAGGAGTGAGTAGGGAAGAAACTTTTTGAGCTCTGACTTCTGAAACCTTACTGTTTCTGTGGGTGTCTCTCATTAGCCAAAACCAACTGGAAGTCAGCTGGGAGGGGAGCAAGGTGACACTCGAGCAGGAAGGGTGACACTCGGGCAGGAAGGGTGACACTGGGGCTGGAAGAGTAGAGGGTGGTTCTGAGGACCTCCACAAAGAATGGCCAGCACATCCTAGAACACTGACACTTACCAAATTTTTAAAAAAAGTTTATTTTTGTTTTGTGCATTCATGTTCTTTTATGAATGATTTATCAAGTAATGGCTTGGAATAGAAATCTAAAGCTTTTATTTTTTAAATTGTGAACCGAAGTAATCGTACTTGCTAGAAATTAAACCAGAGCTTTGAGGTCAAATAGTTTACTCTTTCTTCTGTTTATATTAACAGGGAAGATTAATTGTGCCGAATATCGTAGTTTTGAATGGAGCTTTTTATTAACTTCAACATCAGGAAATCACCAGAGTCCACCTACCTTTCCTTATTTTTCACAGAAATAGAAAGATTGATGTTCTCATAGAGCAAAAAAGATGAGGTCTCACTTCTTGTGGCCTTCTGACATCCATCAATATTTTAGGAAAACAATTCTCACATTTCAGGGCCAATTGGGAATTAAGTTGAGCTCAAATACAAAGGGAAATATTTTTTATTAAAACTTTTTTTGTGCGAAATGAATTATAAATTTTATAAATTTTTTTGTGAAATGAATCAGCTAGCCTAAAATTTAATCCTTCCAAACTACAGTAGGTTAAAAAAAACAAGTGAATGGTAAACAAGTTGAAATTTTCTTTCCAGTTTCTTATCACTGGCTAATTGGGAAGAATTGAAAAGTCAGAAGAGGAGAAAATTATAATCAATGCCTACTCCATTAAAAAATTGCTTAACTGTTTTATTGAAATTGATTCTATAGAGAGCCCCTGATTGCATATTTGATAAGGAACATTAATGCTAATACATGAAATACCCTATGTGCTCACGTATGAAAGAAACATTCTTGGCTGGGTGCGGTGGCTCATGCCTGTAATCCCAGAACTTTGGGAGGCCGAGGTGGGCGGATCACGAGGTCAGGAAATCGAGACCATCCTGGCTAACATGGTGAAACCTCATCTCCACTAAAAATACAAAAAATTAGCCGGATATAGTAGTGAGTGCCTGTAGTCCCAGCTACTTGGGAGGCTGAGGCAGGAGAATCGCTTGAACCCCGGAGGCGGAGCTTGTAGTGAGCCGAGATCACGCCACTGCACTCCAGCCTGGGTGAAAGAGCAAGACTCTGTCTCAAAAAAAAAAAAAAAAAAAAAAAAAAGAAAGAAACAAAGAAAGCATTCTCCCACATATTTTCGTTTATATAAAAAGATAAGTCTCACCCTAAATCTATGTTAAACTTATAGAAAGAACAGGTAGTCACAGTTAGAATGTGATTTTAGGGGCTAGGAAATCAACCCCAGACTTCAGCAAATCAATGTTCTACCACTGAAGTGTGCTAATATTTAGTATGAAACCGCTTACGGATTTCAGATCTTTTCCTGAAAGCAAACTTTAATATAGCAGAAGTCATCTGGATTTGGGCTGGAGATGGGGAGAATGAGAGGAGGCAAGTACTATAAGGGGTGGAGTGTAGGGGTAGGAGAGAGTAAAGAAAGGCATTAATTAAATGTCAGAAGTGAATTTATTCATTTTGTAGTTTTATCTAAACTGAAAACTGATCCTTGCTTGAATGGCTTGATAGAGAATGCGTCTCTCATGGGGCAAGGATAAAGCTATAATTATAAAACTTCAAGCTTAAAATAATGGGACTCAATGTTTGGGGCATCTTTTTAACTCCGCTAATCTAAGGATATGAGAAAATACTGTTCCTATTTAAGGAGCAAAAATTGGTAGATACGTGTTTGGGAGAATTTTTGATTTGCCAGCATTTGTGTTTCAGAACACTAAACAGCCTCATGGCAAGCCTGAATTTCTGAATATAATGAAGCAGAGACTGTTTTGTCTTGAGTAGATCCAGTTCGTGAAGGCTCAGGGGAACAGCACGCTTCATGCCTGCCAGCAGATGAGCTTCGAAGTGCCTTAAGGAAGCACTTTGACCAGAAGGTAGATAACTCTTATTATAGAAGAAGAAGGAGTGTGTAATTCATCTCCTACCGGTAAGAATAGTTATTGCTTTTGCAAACACTGTAAATGTGCAATCTAGAAGCTAGAAATAAGTACGCAGTTAGAAGGCAGTCTTTTTTTTCATATGTAGTGAAACTACTACACTTTCTGCAGTGGCAAATCTTAGCAGAGATTGTAAATCTAAGCAGAGAGGTATCCAGGATTGTGGTAGTCTACACTGAGTATGCCTACATGATGGTAGAGAAAAAAAAATGAAGATTACATGCAGGATAGCTCCCTAAGAATATCAGATAAGAACTTCTGCAGAACAACTTGTTATGCACCTTCTGGTCCAAATTTTCAAAGAAACTGCTGCCGGGTATAAGGATACAAAAAAAGAGAGAGAGAAAGGGAGAAAACAAACAAACAAAAATGACCCTGAAGTGATAACATATTTGGCTGCACTTGTTATTTAGGAAAGTCTGTGACTCAGAAATGAGATGGTCTGGAGGGAGACTTTAGAAACAATAGCAAGACACGAAAGTTCTCTCGAAACCTTGGATCCCATTTTTCATAATAAACAGAATTATGTCTTTTTTGATTAGCTTGTGAAAATTATCTGAGAATAATTTATGAGAAGTTCCCACTGCTATAATATACTGAGTTCAATAAATTATTCATATTTTATTTTCATTAATTAAAATAAACCCAAATCCTATTAAGAACTTTTTCAAAGACTGATAACCATGACTACAAAATGCTTTGTTGTCACATTTCTTTTCATGCCATAAATTAAATAGACTCTTCTTTGTCTCTAAAGGCTTTTTAAACATATTATGTTTCCCAGGAAAGGCTGCAGTTAAATGTTGGCATTTTGTCCTTATGTTCCTATAGTTTCCTGTTGTAGCAGTGTAGAATGAAGTTATGCCAGAATAATTTCCACATAAATATTGAATAAAGTGGACTTTTCATGGTTCAAAGAGTTTTGTGCCAATATGTTTCTTTTCTTAAGCGTTCAATGTAAATTTATGAAATTTTAATATTCTCTCATAAACACCTAAGTGTAGTTGCCATTAAATACAGATTCACATTCATGTTAGAACTGCTATTTTTTTGTTTCATATGATTTGTTCTTTATTTTTTTTTTTTGAGAAGGAGGCTTGCTTTGTCACCCAGGCTGGAGTGCAGTGGCGCCATCTGGGATCATTGCAAGCTCTGCCTCCCGGGTTCAGGCCATTCTCCTGCCTCAGCCTGCCGAGTAGCTGGGACTACGGGCGCCCGCCACCACGCCCGGCTAAGAGAGTGTGTGTGTGTGTGTGTGTGTGTGTGTGTGTGTGTGACTACAGGCGCCCGCCACCACGCCCGGCTGAGAGTGTGTGTGTGTGTGTGTGTGTGTGTGTGTGTGTGTGTGTGTGTATTTTTTTTGAGACGGAGTCTCGCTCTGTCATCCAGGCTGGAGTGCAGTGGTGCGATCTCAGCTCACTGCAAGCTCCGCCTCCCGGGTTCACGCCATTCTCCTGCCTCAGCGTCCAGAGTAGCTGGGACTACAAGCGCCCACCACCGCGCCCGGCCAATTTTTTTTTATTTTTAGTAGAGACGGGGTTTCACCGTAGCCAGGATGCTCTCGATCTCCTGACCTCGTGATCCGCCCACCTCGGCCTCCCAAAGTGTTGGGATTACAGGCGTGAGCCTCCACACCCCGCCGGCAAATAAATTTTAAAGCCCTACATTCTTGGGCAAATTTTACCCTTAAACAAAAATTCAGCCAATTGTACTAATCCAATAAAGAGCCATTTTAGGGAGCCTAAAGTTTTTTTATGAAAGCTCTAGTTGAATCACATATCAAAGTACTGGTCTATTAGGTTTCTTTTTTTCAGATATAAGTTAATTTTGATGTATTTTATTTGCTCTTTAAAAAATCACACTTTTGAGGCTGCGTGCGGTGGCTCATGCCTGTAATGCTGGCATTTTGGGAAGCCAAGGCAGGCGGATCACTTGAGGTTAGGAGTTCGAGACCAGACTGGCCAACATGGTGAAACCCCTTCTCCACAAAAAATACAAAAATTAGCCAGGCGTGGTGGTGCATGCCTGTAATCCCAGCTCCTTGGGAGGCTAGGGCATGAGAATCACTTGAACCCAGGAAGCAGGGGTTGCAGTGAGCCGAGATCGCACCACTGCACTCCAGCCTGGGCAGCAGAGTGAGACTTTCTCAAAAACAAACAAACAAAAAGTCACCATTTTGAATGCTTAGACACTACTGGTGGACATGTAAATTAGTTCAGTCAGTGTCAAAAGCAGTTTGGTGATTTCTCAAAGAACTCAAAACAGAATTACTATTCTACCCAGTAATGAGAATGGTAGACCTAGGCATGTGTATGTTCATTGCAGCACTATTCACAATAGCAAAGACATGGGATCAACCTAAATGCCCATCAATGGTAGACTGAATAAAGAAAATGTGGTGCATAGGCCCGGCGCGGTGGCTCACGCCTGTAATCCCAGCACTCTGGGAGGTGGAGGCCGGTGGATCACGAGGTCAGGAGATGGGGACCATCCTGGCTAACACGGTGAAACCCCGTCTCAATTTAAAATACAAAACATTAGCCGGGCGTGGTGGTGGGCGCCTGTAGTCCCAGCTACTCGGAAGGCTGAGGCAGGAGAAGGGCGTGAACCCCAGAGGCGGAGTTTGCAGTGAGCCGAGATCGCACCACTGCACTCCAGCCCGGGTGACAGAGCAAGACTCCCGCTCGAAAAAAAAAAAAAGAAAGAAAGAAAATGTGGTGCATGTACACCACAGAATATACTACACAACCATAAAAAAGAACGGGATCATGTCCTTTGCAGCAACATGGATGGAGCTGGAGGCCATTATACGAAGCAAACAAACACAGGAACAGGAAACCAAATGCCGCATGTTCTCACTTATGAGTGGGAGCAAAACACTGAGTACATATGGACACAAAGAAGGGAACAACAGGCACTGGGGCCTACTTGAGGGTAAAGGGAGGGAAGACGGTGACAACTGAGAAACTACCTATCTAGTACTGTGCTTATTACCTGGGTGGCAAAATAATGTGTACACCAAACCCCCATGATGTGTAATTTACCTAACAAATCAGCACATGTACCCCGAACCTAAAATAAAAGTTAAAAAATAATAACAATAATCACCCTTTAAACCTATCTTTCAACATTTAAAGTTTGCAAAGGCAAAGTTTTATTCACCTATGGAACATGGTTTACTAACTGAGCAACTCTGGGCAAGTACTCTCTTGGCCTCTTAAGTGGGGATAATAACAGGGCATGCCTCCAAATCTTCCTGTGAACATTAAGTGAATGGATACGTACTGGACACTCAGAAAAATGCTTGGGTTGTAGTGATATTTAAGTGCCATTATAATGGCAGCATTGTACGAACAGAAATTAAAAACTTCAAAGTACATGTGAAAAAATATTTTTAAAAAATCTAATCATTGTATGATATAACTAGAAATTTTATTTAAGTACTTAAAGTAAGAATATTTCTACTTAAAATTCTAGATGCAGTGAAAAAAACATTAAAAAATGAAAATAAAGACATTTTTCAGACTTAGAAAACCTGAAATAATTCATCTCCAACATAGCCACTTTACAATAAATGTTAAAGAAAGTTTTTAGGCAGAAGAAAATTGAAAAACTGATACTAGATGGAAATATAAATGCATACAAAGGACTGTGGGACACTGGACATGGTAACTACATGAATAAAACTCTGGAATGTTTTTCTTATTATTTAAGTATTTTTAAAATATAATTGTTTAAGTAACAGTAATAACAATATAGCATGAGGTTTATAACACATGTAGAAGTCAAATTTATGGCAGTGATGGCACAATGCCTATGAGGAGAAAAATGGAAGTATGCTATTCAAAAATTTTATATGTGAAGTAATATACTATAACTTGAATATACACTGTGAAAAGTTAAAAATATATGCTACATACCCTAAACCAACCACTAAAATATGCCAACAAAGAGTAAAGGCTGATAAGCCAATCAAAGAGATAAGATGAAATTCTTAAAGAAATTCTCAATTATCCTTTAAAAAGGGCTAAAAAAGAGAAAAAGTAACAAAGCACAGAGGGAACAAATGAAAAACCATTTTAAGAAAATAAACTTAAATCTAACCATATTAATAATCACATTAGTATCAATTGCCCAAAAACTCTAACATTGACAGATTAGATTCAAAGAAAGCAAAAGCTAACAGTATTCTGCCTCCAAAAAAACATACTTTAAATGGAAAAACACAAGTAAAAAGACGAAAAAATATATAATAAACACTACCTCAAAGAAATCTGGAGTGACTATAGTAGTATCACACAAAGTAAATTTCAGTTGAATGGGTATTACTAGAGATAAAGTCATTTCAAAATAACGAAAGGGTCAGTTTGTCAAGAGAAATAAAAAACCTAAATGTTTATATAACAAATCATGTACATTCAATATACATGAAGCAAAATATAAAGATTATAAGAAAAATAAACATTTTTCTTTCCACAATTACAGTTAGATTTTTGTTTGTTTGTTTTGAGACTGAGTTTCACTCTTGTTCCCCAGGCTGGAGTGCAATGGTGCGATCTCGCCTCACTGCAACCTCCGCCTCCCAGGTTCAAGCGATTCTCTTGCCTCAGCCTCCTGAGTAGCTGAGATTACAGGCACCCACCACCACGCCCAGCTAATTTTTTGTATTTTTGGTAGAGATGGGGTTTCACTATGTTGGCCGGGCTGGTCTTGAACTCCCGACCTCAGATGATCCACCTACCTCAGCCACCCAAAGTGCTGGGATTACAGGCATGAGCCACCACGCCTGGCCTAGTCAGACATTTTTATACCCCTATATCAAAAACTTCTACAACAAGAAGACAAAAATTCAGTAAGAGTGTAAAAGATTTGACCAACATTACCACTTGACCTAATTGACATGTATAGAAAATTTCAAATACCAACTGTCAGATACACATTTTTTTTAAATGTACACAGAATATTTACCTAGAAAAAAACATATGCTGGGGCATAAAATTAATCTCAGTGATGTCAGAAAAATGGCAGACTAGAAAACTTTAGAACTTTGTCCCCCATGGAAACATTAAAGAAAAAACTACAAATTGGTTAAACTGACATTTAGGAACTATGGAAAACAGCTCAAGGTTTACAGAAAACACATGAACATCCAAACAAAACGGAGCCACATCCAAAGCAGTAGAAAATTGTGTGGCATTTTTACTTGGCTTTGCCACATCCCATCCCTGGAACTGCACAGAATGGTCTTAGGAAAGTGATAGCTGAGCTTCCAATTCCTTCCCTGGAACTGGAAGGGTAAACCAGACTTTATTTGAAATGTTCTAACCTGTCTGGGAGCTCCATGTTGGATTAGTCTCTGTTGTTTCTAACTCATAGGTCAGACAGCAAAGATCAGAACAGCTCATATCTCAGGCTATGAAAACCAATGAGAGACAACAGACATAGCTCGTGAATGCTGCTGTGAGATGCAGGATAGACCTGCAAATGCCTGGAGCATGAGATTACAGATAGAGGAATAAAATAGAATATTCTTGACTCTGAGAAGAAGCAGGGCTATGACCCCTAGGGAAATTAAGACATTTTCTAAAAGGCTGTATACACAAGGAAAAAATAAATAAAAGCACACACAGGCCCAGAGAAAATGAAGTCTGATAAAAGACCACAGAAGATGAAAGCCTTCAGACCAGGCTGATCTAAGTCAAAGAACATGCCCTTCTAATTATTGAAGAGCTTTTCCTACACAGACTCAGTCTGCAAACATTGGGAGAGGAAATGCCTTTTTTTCTAAATGCCCCATTTTCCACAATAACAATAACAATAACAATAACAAATTACAAGGTGTTCAAAGAGACAAGAAAGCCATGGCCCAATCAAAGAAGAAAATACAGCTGCAGAAACTGTCCCTGAAGAAACATTGACATTTGAAATACTAGACAAAGACTTTTAAACAACTATCTTATGCTCAGGGAGCTAAAGAAAAACATAGACAAATAACTAAAAAGTGAAGAAAATAATATATGAACAAAAGGAGAATATCAACAAAGAGACAGAAATTATTTTAAAAGAACCAACAAGAAATTCTGGAGATGAAAAATACGGTAAGTGAATTGAAAAATTTATGAGACAGCTTTAACAGAAGACTTTAGCAGGCAGTGGAAAGAAGCAGCAAACAAAAAGAAAGATTATTTAAAAGTAGTGAGTCTAAGGACCAAAAAGGAAAAAAAAAAAAAAAGAAGTGAATAGAGTCTAAGGTATTTAAGAGTCACCATTGAGTAGTCCAATTATTCATTACAGAAGTTCCAGAAACAGAAGAGAGAAAGGAGGCAGTGATTTATATGACAACATAAGTGTCAGAGGCGTTCAAACCAGAGCGACTCCATTTTGAGTGAGGGCTAGGAAAATGAGGCAGAGACTTGCTGGACTGCATTCTCAGAAAATTAGGCATTTTCCTAGCTTCTAGATGTTTATGAATCAGTGAACAAATTAATGATGCTTACTAAAACAGACCCAGACTTGGGAGTGTCCAGATATCTCAATATCTGGAGAATAAGGGCATTCCTAATTTTGCATTAAAGATAATAATATTGATTCTTGCAAAATATGGTAATTAAGAAAATTAATCCTTTATCAAAAACTCTTGTAGGAGAGCACATCTCCCCATATATGCAACCATCGTACCTAGGATGGATGTGTTCTTCCTCTCACTTTCAGGAATGTCCTACTCTGTCTATGGAGTAGCTGTTCTTTCACCACTTGCTTTTACTTTGCACTGTGGACTCGCCCTGAATTCTTTATCGTGTAAGCTCTAAGAACCCTCTCTTGGGGTCTGTATCGGGACTCCTTTCTGGTAACATAAGGATCAAAAATTTCCCAAATTTTTAAGACATGTATATGCAAATCCAAGAATCTCAATGAACTCCAAGTATGATAAAACAAAAGGAGTGTAGGCAGAGGAACAAAATTGTCAACTGGAAATTTTATAATTAGCAAAACTGTCCTTCAAACATGAGAGGAAAACCTTCTGGTTCTAAACCAGTATGTAAGGAGCTTGATAGTCATACTTTATCCTAACAACTAGTAAAAAGTTGAACAAACAAAAAACTCAACACCTCTTCTCAGATCTGTCATGGAAATGAGATCAGAGAGCAAACCAAGGACCCCCAAATTGGAGAGACAGACAGGCAGATACATAGAAGCAAAACTTAACTCATGCAGAAATGATGAGCAGAAATCTCCATAAGACCCAGTGCTGGGTTGGGCATAGTGGCTCACGCCTGTAATCCCAGCACTTTGGGAGGCCGAGGTGGGCAGATCACCTGAGGTCAGGAGTTCAAGACCAGCCTGGCCAACACGGTGAAACCCCATCTCTACTAAAAATACCAAAATTAGCTGGGCATGTTGGCAGGAACCTGTAATCCCAGCTATTCAAGAGGCTGAGGCAGGAGAATTGCTTAAAGCCGGGAGGTGGAGATTGCAGTGAGGCAAGATCATGTCATTGTACTCCAGCTTGTGCAACAGAGCAAAACTCCACCAAAGAAAAAACAAAAAACAAAAAAACACACACAAAAAAATCACCAGTGCTGAAGTAGAAAAACCTGAAACTGTAATTAACAAATTGCTGGAGCTCAATGTGAACAACTCTGAAAGTTAAAAACTTCAAGTGGGTACACTCATTGAAGGTCTCCATACTATTGTGAATTATGCCTCCAGAAACTCTACTAGGTTCTCAGTGAATGTTGGAAAAAATGTCCTCATGCTTCTGGCAGGAGGAAGGGGAAAGGAACCATTTGGAAACATGCTGGAGTATTCAGTTCTTTTTCACAAGACCTGCACCAGGAGAAACTATTTTACTAGGGCCTAATCTGCTGGGGTTTTATCAGAGCCTACTATATGTGACAGAAGGAAAATACTCAACTGGCTGTAGCCTTCCACATGCACAAAAGGGAATAAATAACTCCATCTCCTTCTGGCCTTTCATGTGGGGGAAGAGAAACACTCAACTACAATCCCTTTTAGATTTCCACATGGAAAAAGGGAAATATACAACTTCATCCTCCCTTCAGCCATTATGTCTCATCTAAAGTCGGGGAGGAACTGAGAAGCACTGATGAAGTTCACAGTCAAGGGGCACAGTCTCACCAAAAGACTGAGCCCTAATCATAGGACTATAGAATGCTCCCCTTCCCCTTACACTCTATCACTACATTACTAAAGGCCTATTTACTATAGCTGCTTTTACTTAGTACATTGTGTTCACTTTTCAACAAAAAAAATTCCAAGATAGACTGAAATGCAAAGAAAAAAACAGTTTCAAAAGTATGAACAAGCATCATAAGCAGAGTCAAGTATGGCAGGAATGTTGGAATTATCAAAGCAGATATTTTAAATAATTGTGATTAATGTGCTAAGGACTCTAGTAAACAGACAACATGCAAGAACAGATGAATTATGTAAACAGAGAGATGGGGATACAAAGAAAAAAATCAAAAAAGAAGTGCTGGAGATCAAAGACATTGTAATAGACATAAAGAAGGGCTTTGATGGGCTCATTAATAGACTGGACATAGCCAAAAAAGAATCTTTGAGTTTGATGATATGAAAATAGAAATTTCCAAAACTAAAGAGCAAGGAAAAAAATTACTCAGTAAAAACAGAATAGAATATCAAAGAACTGTAACAAAACTACAAAAGGAGTTAATACATATATTGGGAATTTTAAAAGGACAGGAAAGAGAGAAAAAAATGGAAGCAATATTTGAAACAATAATGACTGAAAATTCCTTCCAAACTAGTGTCAGACACCAAACCAGAGATCAAGAAAGCTCAGAGTACACCAAACAGGATACATGAAAAGAAAAATTACACCTAGGCATTTCATATTCAACTTCAGAAAATCAAAAATAAGAAAAAAAAAGTCTTGAAAGAAGCCAGAGAGGAAAAATACCTTACATATAAAGGAGCAAAAATAAGAATTACTTCTTAAATTTTCTTAGAAACCATGCAAGCAAGAAGAGTGAGGTTGAGAGAAAAACCACCAGCCTAGATTTCTGCACCCTGTACAATTATCCTTCAAAAGTAATAAGAACTAAAGTTCTTCTCAGACAAACAAAACCTGAAGGCATTGTTACTGGTAGACCTACCTTGCAAGAAATGTTAACGGAAGTTCAGAAAGAAAATGATGTAGGTCAGACACTCCAATCTACATAAATAAAAGAAGAGAGTCAATGAATTAATAAGTAAAAGTAAAGTAAAACATTCTTTTTTTGTTCTTAATTGATCAAAGACATAATAGTTTGTTCAAAATAATAACAGCAACAATATATGGTTATGTATGCATATATATATGCTTTTGTATACTTTTGTAGACATGAAGTGAGAGATAGCAATGATAAAAGGGAAAGGAAGGAAGAATTAGGAATATTGTGTTATTAATATATCTTCTACCTGTGAAGTGGTATAGTGTCATTTGAAAGTGTACTTGGATTAGTTGTAAAAATATACTGCGAACTCTAGGACTAATGTTTTAAAACTTTAAAAAAGTATAATTGATATGCTAAGGGAGGAGAGAAAATGAAATTATATAAAGTGCTCAATTAAAACACAAAAAGTAGAAAACTATGCGCGACAAAAATAACTAAGAGCAAGGACGGCAAAGAAAAATCATTAACACAGATGGTACATATTAATTGCTATATCAATAATCATCTTAACTGTCAATGGTCTAAAACACACCAATTAAAATACAGAGACTGTCATAGTAAATCAAAAAACAAGACCCAGCTGTCTACAAGAAGCTCATTTTAAATTTGAAGACTCATAGAGATAAAAATTAAGGGGATGGAAAAGATACTGAGGTAAATTATAAAGGGTGGTCATAGCCTCCCTTAAAGGAGAACAAACTTGCTAAATAGATGGAGAGAATAAACTACCCGACAGTGCACAAACCACATCATGGGCTCAGGATTAGAACATCCTGCAGCAAGGAGGTAGAAAAATAGAAGGGAGAATTCCCAAATTCACACAAGCACAGAAACCCATGATTAGTGTCCTTGGACTGACCTATATTCACTATAATAGTAAAAGAAAAACACCCCTGGGTGGAGATTTAAGATGCTAATGATACATGCAATGTTAAGTCCTAGCATGTACAACCACAGCACCTGTGCAGCCAGGGGACTACCCATAACATACTCATCAGAACACCCCTTCCCACCCCTCCATGAATAATCATGTAAATCTCCCATAAAGGGCGATCCCCCTGCATCAGACAGGGCTGTCTCACCTTTGAGCAGCCTGCTCTGATCAGCTGTCAGAGTGTACTTTTGCTTTGCAATAAACTCTTTTGCTTACTGTTACTTTGGACTCGTTCTCAAAGTTTTTTGTGCAGCAAAGTCAAGAACCTGAAACAGCCCACTGGCAACAATAGCATGCTAACAGTAATCCAAAGAAAGCAGGAGTAGCTCTATTAATGACACATCCCACTTCAGAACAAGAAGAATTATCAGAAATAAAGAGAGTAATTACATAATAAAAATGCGGTCAGTTCTCCAAGAAGACATAACAATCCTTAGTGTTTACACACCTAAAAACAGAGCATCACTATATGTTAGGCAAAAACTAATAGAACTTCAAGGAAAAATAGATGAATTTACTACTGTACTTTGAGACTTTAACATCTCTCTACTAGTAATTAGCAGATTAAGCAGGCAAAAAATTAGGGAAGACATATTATAATTCAAGTCAGCAGTGACATTAATCCAATTGACATGTGTAGAATAATTCACCCAACAGCAGAATACACATGCTTCTGAAGCTCCCATGGAATGTTCACAAAGACACATCACTATCTAGGCCATTAAAAAGCAACTTATTTAAAAGCATGTAAGTCATGCAAATTATGCTCTATGACTACAGTGAAATTAAGCTAGAAATCAAATTCAGCAAGATGACTGGAAAACATTAAAATACATGAAGGCGTAACATCACACTTCTAAATAAAAAATGGATCAAGGAAGTCTCAAGAGGAATTGTAAAATATTTTGAACTAAATGAAAATGAAAATACAACTTTAAATTTGAAGACCCATAGAGATAAAAATTAAGGGGATGGAAAAGCTACTGCGGTAAGTTATAGAGGGTGGTTATAGCTTTTCATTTTCGCTTACATCTCACGGAAGTGTGTGAAATGCAGTAAAACAATGCTTAGACCAAAATTATAGCATTGAATGTACATGTTGCATCCCAAGGAGGGTCTAAAATTAATAATCTAACTTTTCACCTTAGGAAGCTAGTAAAGGAAGAACAAATTAGACTCGAAATAAGGAGAAGAAAAATATAAAAATCAATAAAATTGAAGACAGAAAAATCAATAGAAAAAAATCAACAAATAAAAATCTGATTCTTTGAAAAGATAAATAAAATTGGTAAATCTCTATCCAGAGTAAGAGAGAAAAAGAATACAAATTATTGATATCAACATTTAAAGAAGAACCACCTCTATAGATACTATGGACATTAAAACATTTAAAAAAATAAAGAAATATTATTAACAACTTCATAAGTTTGATAAACGACATAAAATGCAGCACTTTTTTGAAATATACAATCTACTAAAATTCACACCAGGAGAAAAAGACAATCTGAGTTGTCCTATATCTATCAAAGGAACTGAATCAATAATTAATAAGCTGATAAAATAGAAAGTACCAAGCCCCAGAGAGTTCTCTGGTAAATTCTAACACTTAAAAGAAAAATTATAACAATTCTCCAGAATCTTTTCCAAAAAATAGAAGCATACAGAATGCTTCCCTAGTTATTCTATGAGGTCATTATTACCATACACCAAAACCAAAGACATTACAAGAAAGAAAAAACAAAGAGCACTATCTTTCATTAAGCAAAAATCCTGAACAAAGTATTAGCAAATTGGATCCAATAATGTGTAAAAAGATGATGAAGTGGACCTTATCCTAATTATGAAAGGCTAGTTCAACAATTGAAAATAAACTGATATATTTCATCACATTAACAAGAAAAAGAAAAAAAACAAGATCACATCACCAGATGCAGAAAAACATTTGACAAAATCCAACATCCATTAACGATAACTCTCGGCAAATTAGGAATAGAGGGAAACTTCCTCAAAGTGACAATGTCTATAGGAAACCTACAGCTAACATCATATTCCCTGGTAAGAAGTTAGATGCTTTCCTGGTAAGATGAAAAACAAGGCAAGAATGCCTGCTCGGCCGGGCGCGGTGGCTCCCGCCTGTAATCCCAGCACTTTGGGAGGCCGAGGCGGGCGGATCACGAGGTCAGGAGATCGAGACCATCCCGGCTAAAACGGTGAAACCCCGTCTCTACTAAAAATACAAAAAATTAGCCGGGCGTAGTGTCGGGCGCCTGTAGTCCCAGCTACTTGGGAGGCTGAGGCAGGAGAATGGCGTGAATCCGGGAGGCGGAGCTTGCAGTGAGCCGAGATCCCGCCACTGCACTCCAGCCTGGGCGACAGAGCGAGACTCCGTCTCAAAAAAAAAAAAAAAAAAAAAAAAAGAATGCCTGCTCTCACCTTACTCAACATCATACTGAGGGTCCTAGCTAATGCAATAAAACATGAAACACACATAAAAGTTAAACAGATTTGGAAGAAAGAAATAAGACTCTGCTCACAGATGGCATGACTGTTTATGTAAAAAATCCCCCCAAAATCAACCAAAACATTTGTGGAACTAACATGTGGTTATAGTAAGGTTGTAGAATATAATGTTAATGTACAAAAGTCAATTGATTTCTGATATACCAGCAATGGGCAACTGGAATTTGAAATTAAAAGCATAATACCATTTACTTTAGCATTGAAAAGAGAAATGTTTAGGCATAAGTTGAATAAAATACGTACCAGGTTTATATAAGAAAACTACAAACTCTGGTGAAAGAAATCAAAGATCTAAATAAATGGAGTATAAATAGAATAAAATATGTACAAAGTTTATGTGAGAAAAAACTACAAACTGATGAAAGAAATCAAAGAAGATCTAAATAAATGGAGAGATATTCTATGTACATGGATAAGAAGACTCAATATTGTCATAATGTCATTTCTTCAAAACTTGATCTGTAGATTTAATGGAACCCCAATCAAAATTCCAGCAAATTATTAAGTGGATATCCACAAACTGGTTCAAAAGTTTATATGAAATGACAAAAGATCCAGAACAGCCAACATAATATTGAAGGAGAAGAACGAAGTTCGAGGTCTAACGAACTAATTTCTGTATGATTCCAACTACATGGCATTCTGGAAAATGAAAAATTACAGACACAGTAAATAGCTCAGTGATTGCCAGGAGTTTGAGGGAAAGGGGACTAGGGGTAAATTGAACACAAGAGATTTTCAGAATAGTAACACTGTTATGTATGACACAGTAATTTTGGATACATGCCATTATATATTTGTCCAAACCCATGGAACGTCAATCACAAAGAGTGAAGCTTAATATAAACTATGGGCTTTAGTAACTAATGGTGTATCAATACTGGGTCATGGATTCTAACAAATGTGCCACACTCATGTAAGATGCTAAAAATAGGAGAAACTGCAGGGAGGTATACGGGAACTGTTTTTTTCTTTCATCTTTTTTTCTGTAAACCTAAAACTTAGTAAAAAATGAAGCATCTTATTTTTTAAAATTATCTAAATACATTAATAAAAAGTGAGAGATTAGCAAAGTAGATTTCAAAATATCCTAATCATAAGCTGTTTATAAGAAACCTACTTTACATTTAATAAAATAGGTAAATTGAAATTAAATGCATGAAAATGACATAATATGCAAATATTAACAAAATAATGCAGGAATTGCTATATTAATATCTGATGGAGAGACTTCAGAGTAAGGAAAATTACTAAAGACAAAGAAAGATATTACATATTTTTAAAAGCCAAGCTACTATGAAGACACAATGATCCTAAATGTATATAAACCAACAGAATTTTAAAATACATGGAGCAAAAGCAGAGAATACTGAAAGAAGAAATAGACAAATCTACAATTATAGTTGGGGATTCCAAACTTCTCACTAGCTGACAGAATTACTAGTCAGAAAATTAGCATAGATATAGAAAAATATGAACTACACAGTTCACCAACAGGATCCAATTGATATTCATATATAGATTTATCACATAAAGGAAACTCCAATAAGATTAAAAACTAATTGCTCATCATAAGTAATAGAAGGCAGAAGAAAGTGGAATGACATATTAAAAGTGATTAAAGAAAATAAGAGACCAAGAATCTTATATCTAGCAAAACTATATGCTAAGACTAAAGATTAAATAGACATTTTCTGGCTGGGCGTGATGGCTCACTCCTGTAATCCCAGCACTTTGGGAGGCAGAGGTGGGTGGATCACAAGGTCAGGAGATCGAGACCATCCTAGCTAACATGGTGAAACCCCGTCTCTACTAAAAATAGAAAAAATTAGCCAGGCGTGGTGGTGGGCGCCTGTAGTCCCAGCTACTCGGGAGGCTGAGGCAGGAGAATGGCGTGAACCTGGGAGTCGGAGCTTGAAGTGAGCCAAGATTGCACCACTGCACTCCAGCCTGGGCAACAGAGCAAGACTCTGTCTCGAAAAAAAAAAAAAAAAATAGACATTTTCATATAAACAAAAATTGAGAAAATGTGTTGCTGGAAGATTTATCTTGATATTTATTAACACTAACAAAAGATTTCCAAGCTGATTCCTGATACGTGTTCAACCCCATATGAGAAAACAAAGAGGCTGGTAAATTGAATTATGTAGATAATTGTTAGAGTATAATTGGATATTTTGTCTTCTTTCCTTAAATGATTTAAAATGCAATTGCATAAAATGATATGTATATACACAGATTGTTGGATTCGTAACCTATGGAAATGTAATATATTTGACAATAATGGCACAAAGGATATGAGCAGAAGCAAATCTATATTGGACCAACCAAGAGGTTGACACCAGATGGTTTTTCAGGTGTACAAAAATAAAGAGAACCAGAAATGGCAGATAAGAAGATTAATATCACAAACTTTACAAATGTATACTTGCCCTCCTTTCTTCCTCAGCTTCTTTAAAAGATGCAAAAGTAAAAAGAACAAAGCTGGAGACATCATGCTACCTGACTTCAAAGTATACTATAAGGCTACAGTGACCAAAACAGCATGGTACTGGTACCAAAACAGAGATATAGACCAATGGAACAGAACAGAGGCCTCAGAAATAACACCACACATTTACAACCATCTGATCTTTGAGAAACTTGACAAAAACAAGCAATGCGGAAAGAATTGCCTATTTAATAAATGGTATTGGGAAAACTGGCTGGCCATACGCAGAAAACTGAAACTGGACCCCTTCCTTACACCTTATACAAAATTTAACTCACGATGGATTAAAGACTTAAACATAAGACCTAAAACCATAAAAACCCTAGAAGAAAATCTAGGCAATACCATCCAGGACATAGGCATGGGCAAGGACTTTATGACTAAAACACCAAAAGCAATGGCAACAAAAGCCAAAATAGACGAATGGGATCTGGTTAAACTAAAGAGCTTCTGCACAGCTA
The DNA here is from genome assembly GCF_000001405.40 of Homo sapiens. Taxonomy (NCBI): domain Eukaryota; kingdom Metazoa; phylum Chordata; class Mammalia; order Primates; family Hominidae; genus Homo; species Homo sapiens. The sequence goes on along the minus strand of NW_025791789.1, from coordinate 27,262 downwards.
AAGAAACTATCATCAGAGTGAACAGGCAACCTACGGAATGGGAGAAAATTTTTACAATCTGTCCATCTGACAAAAGGCGAATATCTAGAATCTACAAAGAACTTAAACAAATTTACAAGAGACAAACAACCCCATCAAAATGTGGGCAAAGGATATGAACAGACACTTCTCAAAAGAGGACATTTATGCAGCCAACAAACATATGAAGAAAAGCTCATCATCGCTGGTCATTAGAGAAAGGCAAATCAAAACCACAATGAGATACTATCTCAGACCAGTTATGTGATGCTTTTTTGTTTGTTTGTTTGTTTTTGTTTGTTTTTGTTTTTTTTTTTTTTGTTTTTTTGAGACGGAGTCTCGCTGTCGCCCAGGCTGGAGTGCAGTGGCGCGATCTCGGCTCACTGCACACTCCGCCCCCCGGGGTTCACGCCATTCTCCTGCCTCAGCCTCCCGAGTAGCTGGGACTACAGGCGCCCGCCACCTCGCCCGGCTAATTTTTTTGTATTTTTAGTAGAGACGGGGTTTCACCGTGTTAGCCAGGATGGTCTTGATCTCCTGACCTTATGATCCGCCCGCCTCGGCCTCCCAAAGTGCTGGGATTACAGGCGTGAGCCACAGCGCCCGGCCATGTGATGCTTTTATAAAGCATGCTTTCTTGCGTGCCGCTATGATTGTAAGATGTGACTTTGCTCCTCCTTGCCTTACACCGTGATTGTGAGGCCTCCCTAGCCAGGTCAAACCTCTTTCGTTTATAAATTACCCAGTCGCAAGTATGTCTTTATTAGCACTGTGAGAACAGACTGATACATCAGAGATAAAGAAGGACATGCTGTAATGTTAAAGAGACAATATATCAAGAAGGTATAAAAATTATAAACCTATGTGCACTGAACGAAATTTTTCCAAAATCTACAAAGCAAAAATTAAAGGTAGAATTAAAGGTGAATTAAAGGTAGAATTCAACAATAATAGTTGGAGATGGTAATCATAGCAGACATCAGTATCTCACTTTCGATAATCAGAAAAGCTAAATAGATGCTAGCAAGAATATGGAGGATTTGAGTAACAGTATAAACTAGCTAGATGACAGTACAGTACACCCAAAAGCGGAACATTACTCTCAAGTGCACATGGAACAGTTCCTAAAATAGATCACATGCTAGGCCAAAAACCAAACCTCAAAAAAAGTAGAAAATGATTGTTCTTTGATCAAAGTGGAATTAAATTAGAAATTAAAAACAGAAAGAACTTTGGGAAAAGCAGAACTTATAAAAATTAGCTACATACTTCTAAATAACCAATGAGTCAGAGATGAGATCATGATGAAAAATAAGCAGAAGAAAGGATATAATAAACATTGAAATAGAAATTAAAGAAATAGAAAAAATGGTAGAGCAAATCAACAAAACCAAGAGTTGGGTCTTTAAAAAGATTAACAAAATTAACAAACTTTAGCTACACTTACAGGGAGAAAGAAAGATTCAACTTACTAAAATTAAGAATGAAAGAGGGACATTACTATTGACCTTATAGAAATAAAAAGAACTATTAAAGGTACTATGAAAAAAGAATGTCAACATATTAGATAATGTTGACGAAATATCATTTCTAGAATAATATCTACCAATCATTTAAAGAATTAGTGCCATTCTTCACAAGCTCTTAAAAAAATTTTAATATTTATTACAGTATTACTTATAATAGCCAAAAAGTAAAAACAACCCCAATGTTAATTAACTGATGAATGGATAAATACAATATGGTGTATCATATATCATATATATGATATCATGTTATTGACCAACAAAAGGAATGAAGTACTAACACATGCTGCAACCTGGGTGAAAATATTATATTCTTGTAAATATCATGCTGCATAAAAGAAACCAGAACCAAAGAGTGCATTTTGTATTATTCCGTTTATATAAAATCTCCCAAACAGGCAAGTTTAGACAGTGGTTGCCTAATGATGTAAGGTGGAGGAGGAATGGGAAGTGACTGCTAATGGGTACTGGGACTCTTTGAGGGTACCAAAAATGTTATAAAATGAAACTTTGGTGATGATTGAACAACTGAATGAATATATTAATATGTATGAAACATTTTAAGTGAGTAAATTACACAAAATTTAAATTATGGCTAAACAAAGCTGTTTTTAAAAAGTGTACCAGCAGCAGAAAATTAGTTATAAATTAATCAGGATTAAACAGTGCTCATCTTGATTAAGCTTATAATGGATGATGATTATTTTACTTGTTTTATTCTGTAGTAAACAGTTTGAGATTCAGTGATTAAACAAAGGACTACCTTTACACTCTACTTATTTTTTAAGTAAAAGAAAAACATTATTAAAAAGTGTATAAACTGGTTCATGTTTATGTTAACTATCTTACCCTTCCTTCTCTTTTACTTCCAATTACTTTGGTTATGTTTCGGGTTTTATTTGATATTGTCTATGGAACCTGTTAATCATTCTTTAAAGGAAAGAGGAGGTAGGTAGGGAATAAAGTATGGAGCCATCCAAAAACGAAAAGATCTGGGAAGATGCTGTGCTGATTTAATGTTAAGAAATGTTCAGAAAGTAAACCCTTGATGTCTTGGTTTTTATTTTAGAAATATTATCTTGTTGACAATATACTAAAGTGCATACAACTGATTTAAAATAAAAATAAGGTATATGAAAATATGTAAGATGCAGCTGAAGCAGAGGTGAGAGGAAAATTTTTATTACTAAATGTTTATATTAGAAGTGATAAAGTCCTCAACCAACTAAATTCCTACCTCAAACAACAAACAAAAACAAGAAATAAAAAGAGCAAAATAAGACCAAATCAAGAAGCAGCATATTCTGGTATAACTTTCAAATTATCCTTTAAAAATAGTCATAAGTTCAGAATCTGGTGTACAAATTCTATATTATGTCTCCTTACCTTTGAAATGCATTTTTTTTTTTTTTTGAGAGACAATCTCGCTCTGTCGCCAGGCTGGAGTGCGATGGCACCATCTCGGCTCACGGCAACTTCCGCCTCCCGGGTTCAAGCAATTCTCCTGCCTCAGCCTCCGGAGTAGCTGGGACTACTGGAACGCGCCACCACATCCAGCTAATTCTTGTATTTTTAGTAGAGACGGGGTTTCATCATGTTGGCCAGGATGGTCTCCATCTCCTGACCTCTTGATCCGCTCGCCTTGGCCTCCCAAAGTGCTGGGATTAAAGGCGTGAGCCACCGCGCCTGGCCTAAAATGCGTTTCTTTTCCTTGATATAAATGTATTATCTGTACTACTATGAATACTGAAATGCCATAATTGAGGCTTTTTTTTTAACTTTGCAAATGGAATAAAGGAGAGAAGGAAGGATGAGAGTCTCCTGAGATATTTAGATAAATGTTAGAGAAAAGAAAAGATTCAAGTTGATATTCTGATAAACCTGATAAATCACATGGACAAATCTGACATTTATGCGAGTAAACGAAATGGAAAACAATATAACTGGGTGTAAATAAAGAAGGAGATAAAAAAATACGAAGTTAAATAGTCCCTCATATTGGTCACAAGGCCAAATCAGCTGGCTCAGAATGTCATTTACTGCAGAAGGCCTCACTGAATTTCCTCCTTTAAGGAATGACTTTGTTCCTAGGAAATCTACACTAGTGTATAGAAATAAAGGGGCATACTGTCTGCATCTTGCTCTTAGATAATTCAGAAAAATGTGTGTGTATATCTATATCAATACCTATCTAGAATAAACAAGTGTGATGAAATGTTAACAATTGATAAACCTGGGTAAAGGGTAGGTATATGGGAGTTCTTTGCATATTTTTTCAACTTTTATGCACATGCGAAATTATCTGCAAGTGAAAATGTTTGTAAAAATTAAAAAACATACCATTTCAAAACAGGCTGTATTTATATAAGAAGTGCCCAATGTTTTTGCTTAATTTCTTTGTGGTAAGATTTTAGTCTTCCAGGAAAAGTTTCATATTGGTTATTATTGTGAAAAATAATGAAGTGGTCTGCTTCTAATTTTTCTAAGTTCCCTTTTGAATAACTAAGCATCTACACCAAATTAAAGATACTTCTCTATAATTTTTCAAAATTCAAAAAGGATGTCTCATAAAGTAAGAAAATAAACTGTGGTTTGTTCCTCCATTGTTGTTAATTTGCAATGTCCCACTTATCTCTGATGGGATATCAGTAAATTTACTTGCCTTATTGTACTTGTTCCTTGATGTATTTCTAATGATTAATTAGAAATAATTACACATTTGTCCACTTTGGAAAGTAATGGACGTGAAGGGGGTGTGTGTGTGCACTTGTATGGACTCACACATGCATAGGTACACACACACGTATTGTGTTTTCTTGTTTTGTTTTGTGCTTTGATTTTTATTTTTAAATTGTAAATTGACAAATCGTAGTTGTGTATATTTATGGAGTACAAAATGGTGATATAATTTATGAATACAATTTGGAATAATTATATCAAGCTAATTAACATCCACCACCTCAAATACTTGTCATTTTTAATGGGGAATGCATTTGAAATTTACTCTCTTAGTGATTTTTAAAATGTAGAATTCTTTACTATGTACTATTTTCACCAAGTTTTGCAATATATCTCAAAGAAAAAAAACCCTTATTATTCCTTTTGTATAAATGAGGCTTTGTACCTTTTGTCCAATATCTATCCGTTCCACCCCGCACCTCCAGCCTCTGCTAATGACCATTCTGCTCTCTGCTTCTTTCAGTTTGATTGTTTTAGATTCCACATATAATTGAGAACATGAAGTTTTTGTCTTTTTTGGCTTCGCTTATTTCTTTTAGCATAACATTTTCCAATGTTGTTGCCAATGAAAAAATGATTTTTGTAAAGGCATGTAATTGTAACAGTCTCTTATGATCCTTTGTATTTTTGTGGTATCAGTTATAATGTCTCCTTTTTCATTTCTAATTTTATTTATTTGAGTCTTCTCTCCTTTTTTCTTAGTCTAGCTAAAAGATTATTGGTTTTATATTTTTAAGAAACTTAGTTTTGTTCATCTTTTGTGTCATTTTCTAGTTTTCATTTCACTTATTTTTGCTCTGATCTTTATTATTTTATTTCCTTCTGCTAACATTGGAAGAATTTGATATCCTTTTTCTATTTCCTTGAGGCATAATACTAAGTTGTTTATTTGAGATCTTTCTTCTTTTTGCTCTTGATGTTTATTGCTATAAACTTTCCTCTTAGAAATGCTTTTGCTGGATCTCATAAGTTTCGGTATGTTGTGTTTCCATTTTTGTTTTTCTCAAGATATTTTTACATTTCTTGTTTAATTTTTTCATTGACCTATTGGTTGTTCAAGAGCATGTTGCTTAATTCTTTTAATTTCCATTTCTTCATTGACCTATTGGTGGTTCACCACCATGTTGCTTAGTTTCCACGTATTCGTACATTTTCTGGAATTCCTTCTATTGTTGGTTTCTAGTGTCATATCATTGTTGTCTGAAAAGGTACTTGATATGATTCTAATATTAAATTTGCAAAGATTCGTCTTGTGGTCTAACCTGTTGTCTATCCTGCAGAATGTTCTATGTGTCCCTGAGAAGAATGTGTATTCTGCTGCTGTTGGGTGAAGTTTCTGTATGTGTCTATTAGGTCCATTTGGCGTAAAGCGTCCTTCAAGGTTAATGCTATTTTCTATCTTTTTTTTTTTTTTTTTTGAGACAGAATCTCGCTCTGTCACCCAGGCTGGAGTGCAGTGGCGCGATCTCGGCTCACTGCAAGCTCCGCCTCCCGGGTTCACGCCATTCTCCTGCCTCAGCCTCCCCAGCAGCTGGGACTACAGTCGCCCGCCACCACACCTGGCTAATTTTTTTGTATTTTTAGTAAAGACAGGGTTTCACCGTGTTAGCCAGGATGGTCTCAATCTCCTGACCTTGTGATCCACCTGCCTCGGCCTCCCAAAGTGCTGGGATTACAGGTGTGAGCCACTGCCCTGGTCTGTTTAGAAGTATTTTTAAAGAATTATTGCACTTCTGTTCGGATAGAAAAACAAAAATACATTTTAAGAATATATATTTATATGTATGAAAATATAAAATTTTGAAAAGTTGAATATTTCAAGCCAATTATGTAGATGTCCTTGTCCTTCCCTGAGCTGCTGACTCACGTTCCATGAAGCGGGATGGGTCTCACGGGCCTGTCAGGATGCAGGCTGTGATGTGAAGGCCGCTCGACGCTCACAGGATTGGACGGGTTTGTGAAGGAATTTGCAGCGAGGCTTAGCTCCTTAACATTTCCTTTGAGCAACATCAGTGCTTTTGACGTTTTGCACTACTGTATAAAACTGTAAGTGTATGCAGAGATGTATGTTTCTGAATAAATCACAAAATTGACAAGCAACTGCCATGCATTGTTTTTTGTATCATAGCTTACTGATAAAGTACAGACTGCAACATTTACTTATTCAAATACCTTTAAAGATCTGGTATTTTTTTGCTTCTACTTCCCAGGAATTTGACCTCAGGGACATTTTCTATTATTTCCATATCTATTGAAATGAACTCAAATCAAAAATGAGGATGTTTCATTATACATTTAAAATGTGAGTTTTCCCATTTAAAGTCACACAAACTGAGGTTACTATGAAAAAGATTTAAAATTGTGCAGAATGAATCACTGAAAAATTAGTTTATTCTAAAGATCATATATTCAGAGTAAATATATTTAAATTTTATTACTTTCAGAGTAAATATATTTAAATTTTATTCAATTTACTCTTTGTCAGCAAATTAGTGAATAACATTACTGATATCTTAGATGTTTGTGGACAGAAAGAGAATAGAGGTAAACATCATGACCCTCAAAGAGCTCAAAATCCTAAGATTTTTATGGGCAGCCCCAGAGGTATAAAATTCAAAAGGACATTACTTCTCCATTCCTGATTAGGTATGCAATGTTCTGGGATTATGCATGGCTCTCGGATCCTTGAGAGTAATAATGACAGTGATCTCTGAATTAACATAGTTCAACTTTTATAATAATTATGGCCCTCAACCATGTGAAGTTTGTGGAGCACTGAGATTTCTTGGGGCGATTTTGTAATAGCTAATTCTTAACAGCAATGTTATTTCAGGCTTTTTGGCCATTCCCTGTTACAACTGCTGATCTTTTATTCCTATAATGGTACAGAATTCTTTGAGAAAAATAAATTCATCTTTTCATTCATTTAAGGAAAAATTGTCAGCACGAGCCTATGGCTATAATGTTCTCCATCATTTAAAGAATAAAAGGAATAATCTGGTTGAAATTGAATTATCTAAGCTTATATATGGTTTTGATTCAATGGTTAACGTGCATTTTTAACAAGTGATATGGTTTGGCTGCAACATTTACTTATTCAAATACCTTTAAAGATCTGTTTTTGGTTTTTTTTTTTTTGTCTGTACTTCCCAGGAATTTGATGTCAGATGCATTTTCTATTATTTCCATATCTATTGAAATGAACTCAAATAAAAAAAGGGGATGTTTCATTACACACTTATTAATGTGTAATTTAAGATTAATGTGTAATCTTGTAATTCCCATAATCCTTATGTGTCAAGGGTGGGACCAGATGGACATAATTGAATCACAGGGGTGGTTTTCTCCAAGCTGTTCTCGTGATAGTGAGTTCTCACAAGATCTGACGGTTTTATAAGGGGCTTCTTCCTTCACTCAGAACTCATTGTTTCTGCTGCCACCCTGTGAAGAGGTGCCTTTGGCCATGATTGTAAGTTTCCTGAGGCATCCCCAGCCATGTGAAACTATGAGTCAATTAAACTTCTTTTCTTTATAAATTACCCAGTCTTGAGGAGTTCTTCATAACAGCATGAAAACAGACTAATACAGTAAATTGGTACCACAGACATAGGGTGCTGTTATAAGGATACACTAAAATGTGGAAGTGACTTTGGAACTGGGCAACAGGCAGAGGTTGGAATAGTTTGGAGGGTTCAGAAGAAGACAGTAAAGGCTGGGTGTGGTGGCTCATCCCTGTAATCCCAGGACTTTGGGAGACCGAGGCAGGTGGATGACCTGGGATCAGGAGTGTGAGACCAGCCTGGCCAACATGGTGAAACCCCATCTCTACTAAAAATATAAAATTAGCTGGGCATCATGATGCATGCCTGTAATCCCAGCTACTTGGGAGGCTGAGGCAGGAGAATGGCTTGAACATGGGAGGTGGAGGTTGCAGTGAGCAGAGATTGCACCACTGCATTCCAGCCTGGGCAACAAGAGCGAAACTCCATCTCAAAAAAAAAAAAGAAGACAGAAGAATGTGGGAAAGTGTGGAACTTCCTAGAGACTTGGAGGACTTGGAAGACAAGAAGATGTGGGAAAGTTTGGGACTTCCTAGAGACTTGAATGGCTTCTACCAAAATGTTGATAGTGACATGGAAAATGAAGTCCAGGCTGAGGTGGTCTCAGATGGAGATGAGGAACTTGTTGGGAACTGGGATAAAGGTGATTCTTGCTACGCTTTAGCAAAGAGACTGCAACACTTTGCCCCTGCCCTGGAGAGCTGTGGAAGTTTGAACTTGAGAGAGATGATTTAGGGTATCTCGTGGAAGAAATTTCTAAGCAGCAAAGTGTTCAAGAGGAAGCAGAGCATAAAAGTTTGGAAAACTTGCAGCCTGACAAGGCGATAGAAAAGAAAAACCCATTTTCTTGGGAGAAATTCAAGCCAGCTGCAGAAATTTGCAGAACAAGGAGTGGAATACTAATTACCAAGACAATGAGGGAAATGTCTCCAGGGCAAGTCAGAGACCTTCTTGGCAGCCTCTCCCATCACAGGCCTGGAAACCTAGGAGGGAAAAATGGTTTCATGGGCCCAAGACCCCCTGTTCTGTGCAGCTTTGAGACATGGTGCCCTGTCTCCCAGATGCTTCAGCTCCAGCCACAGTTAAAAGGGGCCAAGGTACAGCTCAGGCCATTGCTTCAGAGGGTCCAAGCTCCAAGCCTTGGAGGCTTCCATGTGGTGTTGAGCCTGTGGGTTCACAGAAGTCAAGAATTGAGGTTTGGGAACCTTCACCTGGATTTCAGAGGATGTATGGAAATGCCTGGATACCCAGGCAGAAGTTTGCTGCAGGGGCAAAGCCCTCATGGAGAACCTCTGCTAGGACAGTGCAGAACGGAAATGTGGGGTTGGAGCCCCCACACAGAGTCCTCACTGGGGTACTACCTAGTGGAGCTGTGAGAAGAGGGTCACTGTCCTCCAGACCCCAGCATGGTAGATCCACTGACAACTTTCACTGTGCCCCTGGAAAAGCCACAGACACTCAATGCCAGCCCATGAAAGCAACCAGGAGGGGGTTGTACCCTGCAAAGCCACAGGGGTGGAGCTGCCCATGGCCATGGGAGCTTACTTCTTGCATCAGTGTGACCTGGATGTGAGACCTGGAATCAAAGGAGAACATTTTGGAACTTTAAGGTTTAATGACTGCCTTATTGGATTTCAGACTTGCATAGGGCCTGTAGCCCCTTTGTTTTGGCCAATTTCTCCCATTTGGAATGGGTGTATTTACCCAATGCCTGTGTCTCCATTGTATCTACAAAGTAACTAACTTGCTTTTGATTTTACAGGCTCATAGGTGGAAGGGACTTGACTCAGATGAAACTCTGGACTTGGACATTTGGGTTAATGTTGTAATGAGCTAAGACTCTGGGGAACTGTTGGAAAGGTATGATTGTGTTTTGAAATGTGAGGACATGAGACTTGGAGGGGGGCCAGGGACAGAATGATATGATTTGGCTCTGTGTCCCCACCCAAATCGCATCTTGAATTGCAGTTCCCATAATCCCCAAGTGTAAAGGGTAGGATCAGGTGAACATAATTGAATCATGGGGTAGTTGCCCCCATGCTGTTCTCATGATGGTGGGTGAGTTCTCATGAGATCTGATCATTTTATAAGGGGCTTCCCCTTTGCTCAAAACTCATTATTTCTGCTGCCACCATGTGAAGAGGTGCCTTCTGCCATGATTGTAAGTTTCCTGAGGCTTCCCTAGCCATGTGGAACTGTGAATCAATTAAACCTCTTTTCTTTATAATTACCCAGTCTTGGATATTTCTTCATAGCAGCATGAGAATGGACTAATACAAGATGTGAGTGCATTTCCAGTTAATAAATAGGTAATATTTTCTGTGTTTTCTGCTATGGTAATGAATTGCATTACAACTTCACTAAAGAGAGAAATCACTCACAATTTGAGACCTAAACCAAGAGCTGAAGAAAGTGCAAAGAGGCCTACAATAATTCCTATAAGTTATTTCCAATGGAAGGCCTCTGTGTATGTAGTACTGTAATAGAAAAACCTATGGAATAAAAAGAATGCATTCTCTGAGTAATGTTATGCAGTTTAATTAACCCTTCTCTGTATATTTTTGGCAGCTGTCATCTGTATTATAGGGATAATACAATTAATGGTACTGTCATGATTACATAAGTGAGATGAGTGAGGCATTTTTTTTGTTTTTTGTTTGTTTGTTTGTTTGTTTTGAGACAGAGTCTTGCTCTGTCGCCAGGTTGGAGTGCTGTGGCGCAATCTTGGCTCACTGCAACCTGCAACTCCCTGGTTCATGCGATTCTGCTGACTCAGCCTTCTGAGGAGGCCATTGTGTGTGTGTGCTGAGGGGTTCCCTTATTGGGCAAAATGTACAGGGTAGCAAGGGATTTTTGGCAGCAAAGGATTGTGATTGGGTGGGGAGGAGTAGTAATATTTCATGAGAAGTAAGTTGAGAAGCAAACAAGTGCTGTGTGTTTTCATTAAGCAATAGGGTCGACACAGCATGGGAACATACACATCAAGTGGGCGGCCTAACACTAAATCAGAAGTAGCCTGGATGAGTTGGAAGTCATGGCCACTGTTTGTAGGCCAGGAGGATATGCTTTAGCACTGGCTGGTTTTGTGGGAAAACAGAGAGAAAGACATGGCTGAGTCTCAGGGTGCTCAGAGAAGGCCACAGCCTTGGGGTGCCGTGGTGACCACAAACACTTCCCCCATCCCATACCAATCTTTAAGAGCCTTTTCCTCCTTAAAGGCCTGTCACTTAGCAAAGAGCTTTCAATGAACCCTCCCCTCTGGGCCACTTGTTGGATTGCAGCCAATCAGTGATGGAGGGCTGGACACAACTGTGGGATGCTGTGATTTGGTTTGGCTCCTGGGTCTAGAGTGCTCTGGGGTCCACTGTACTTCTGGGATAAAACGCCAAGGCCATGACTCTCTTGCTAATTTACAAACAAAAGATTGAGGGCTAGCTAAACAAGGACAGAGAGGAAGCAGCTTTCTGTAAGACACACCCACCAGTGTGCCCTGTCAGTTTACCATTGCCATGGCAACACTCAGGCATTACCACCCCTTTCAGCAACAATGACCTGATGACCCAAAAATTACCACCCTTTTCCTAACAATTTCTGCACAAACCACCCCTGAATCTGCATGTAATTAAAAGTAGGTATACATATGACTGCAAAACTGGGCTCAGCCACTACTCTCGGCACCCTGCCTATGGGGCAACCCTGGGAGCAGTCACTGAGCTGTGACCCCACAGGAGCTGCAACAGTGTTGCTTTGATAAAGGTGTTTTCTTCCACCTTACCACTGGCTCGCCCTTGAATCCTTTCCTGGGTGAAGCCAAGAACCCTTGCAGGCTAAGCCCCACTTTGGGGTTTGCCTGCCCTGCATCAGCATCAGGTTTGTTTTTTAAACTTGTAAAATAGTTTTTGTGATTCTGTCATGTATTTTGCAGTCATGAACTAACATATTTTTTCCTCAATTGTCAGTTGCAGTTTCCTCAAAGATCATTATAAATACTCCTTAACCTACAAAGTTTGGCAGTCACAGCCTGCTCTTCGAGGAACAGCCTGACTCACCATCAAGTGGCTCCTCAGGTGGTTTTACTTCCCATGTTTCCCATGTGAGGTACTATGCCTCAGTGATTCCTGGCAAAACTAGGATTCTCTGTTAGTATTGTGCTAACTTTGGAGTGAGTTTCTTTTGGTGAGTAATAATTTTAGTCAATGATACTACTGATTATTTTATCTTTTTTTAGGCTTATGATGAATGCTTGATTTATGATTAATACGTTTTTCACTTTTACACATTTCAAGGAAGGAAACAAGAACAGACAGAAACACAACATACTTCATGAAACCACATTTTAACATCCTGGCCGAGTATTCATCACTCAGCAAGATAGAGAGACATAAACTATTTCCAGCAAGAATACTTCATAAATGATGAATAGAAGAAAAATAGAAGTCCTAAAAATCTTGCAGAACTGTCTTAATTTACTAATATATTTACACTGTATCCTAAGTCACTCTCTAGCTTCTTGCTCTAAGCATATGAAATGTAAGAGCTAATGGGAACCCCAGTGCCTGTATAAATAACAAGAACCAGCATGTCTTTATTTATGGCAGGGAACACTCTACAACCTGGGACAAATGCCACTCTGCTTCAGTTTGGGGAAGCTCCTCACTTTACCATCCTGACGTTTAATAAATGATTCAAAGGCAACTACAGATGCAACCTGAGCCACTGGATGGGCTTTTGTAAATAAAGTTATCTCACCTGGCATTCATTACAGAGAAAACAAGAAATAAGGCACTACATGTCATATTTGTCTAGATCCTATACCTATTTAGGTTCACATTAAAATGAAGAGAAAACAACATAGGCTGAGAATCAGAAAACCTGAACTCTGTCCCAGCTCAGCCACTGGCCACAGGGAATTAACCAATCTCTTTGAACGTCAGTTTCTTCATTAAGCATCGTAGAGAATGTCAAAACCAACTTTATAAATACTGTCATTCCAAAACCACACAATTCAAATATAAATAATCTTTATAAGGTAAAACAAAAATGTACATAATACTTTACATAAACATTTTTAGAATAAGTTTATTATAACTCGATAAGCAAAATAATCCAAACCTTTATACATTTCTACAAGGATAGTCACGTATGTCAATTTTTCGGTTTCCTCTCGTGCCTATTTTGTCTCCTGAGCCGGCCCCTTTCCAGCTGACACGTGTGCTCCGTGTTCTCCCACAATAGCCTGACCTGGCCTGAGTCCACGCCCCTGTGAGCCTCCTTTCTTTGCTTACAACAGCAGCCTGCCTGATGTCAGTTATGGACTATTCTTTCTTTCAGCCTCATTTCAGGGTCCTCTGCCTCTTAGAGCTGCTGCTGTAGCTTAGCTAGAGACCCGCTGCTGTTGCATCATGGAAAAGTGCCACATACGTGCACATGTGAAAGAATACGCAGACCTTCATGTTGGGTTTTAGTTTTAGAAAAAGTCAGAAGTAGCTTCACTTGATTTCAGCTTGTAAAGACATAGGAGGGAGGCAACTGAGAATCACCGTTGCAAAAAGCAAACATCAAAAATCACATTAAAATGCTGAAGTGTTGTGGAGCACAAACCTAGCTTTATTGGATCAAGCATTCGTGAGAGTTCTTCTACTTGCTTTGTTATGCTTTCTATCAGACAGGGCTCATTCTCTGTCTTTTTTTTTAACATATTCATTTTTTCCTTTGGTCTGTTTAGATTATTATCACATCTTATGTTTTAAAACTAGCAAAATATTATGTGTAAGTCATGAACACAGTGTAAGAAATAATAAAATGAACACTGATGTACACATTACCTGCTTAAGAATCAAAAACTACCCATATTTTTAGAGTCCTTAACACTGTCCTGTTAATTAGTCCCATTTCTTGCCTTTATAATTTTGCCAAAATAAATGCATTAGTAAAGGACATTGAACATTATTGTTTTACATGTTTTTCAGTTTAAACAAATGGGATCACACTGAATATATTTTTCTGAAATTGCTTTTTGGTTCAATATTAAATTTGTAAGATTCATTCTTATGATATGTTTATCTGTACTTTCTGTGCATTGATTTAGAGTATTCCATCACAGGATAATACTATAATGAGCATTCCATTTTATTAGATTGGGGTTATTATCCATTTTTTTCTGTTACAAAAAGTAGATGTCCTTTTCTTGTATGAGTCTCCTGGACATAAGAGTTAGATTTTCTCTAAGGTATAAACCCAACATTCAAATCATTGTGTCAAAAGATTTGTACACTAAGTTAAAATGAACTGTTTTCCGATTTATGCTCCCATGAGAAGTTAAAGGTTCTGATAGATCTATATTCTCAACAATACCTAATAGTATCACAGTTTGTTTTTTTTTTTTTTTTTTGAGACAGAGTCTCGCTCTGTCACCCAGGCTGGAGTACAGTGGCGTGATCTCGGCTCACTGCAAGCTCCGCCTTCTGGTTTCACACCATTCTCCTGCCTCAGCCTCCTAAGTAGCTGGGACCACAGGTGCCTACCACCACGCCCGGCTAATTTTTTGTATTTTTGTTAGAGACGGGGTTTCACCGTGTTAGCCAGGTTGGTCTCGATCTCCTGACTTTGTGATCTGCCTGCCTTAGCCTCCCATAATGCTGGGATTACAGGCATGAGCCACCGTGCCTGGCCAGTATCACACTTTTTAACATTAGTTAACTTGGTTTGTCATTGGAATTTTAATCTGCATTTTTTAGAAGTACTGAATCAAGAAAAAAATCAAGTAATGAAAAAAATGTTATTTTAGTAAATAAAAATGCTATAAAGACAATAAAGCAAGTGAACGTAGTCAAAAGCGGAGAGGGGCTACTTCATTTTGATAGTCAAAGATGGCCTTGCTGGTCATCTGAGTTGAGAGGTGGCTGGCAAGATGAGAAGAGATGTTAAGTAGCTGTGGAAGGGGCCTGCTGGCACAGGGCATGCTCTAAGGCCCTGAAAAGAGGCAAACATTCTTTCCCTCTAAATACCTGAACTAAGTAAAAACAGTCCTGGCTTTGCACATTTGAATATGCACAGGTTTAATTAACATAGTTTAGTTAAATAGCACTAGTCTCCCAAAAACGTGGTTACAATTTCAGTTACCACAATATGCTAACTGTGAGCAACTGCATAAAATCCAAACTTCGTTCCCAGCTCTTAATTCCACAAATGCCTATGTGAGTAAATAACAGGCAAGCATCATGATTAGGGACTGTATTAATCTTGTGGGGATGCTGCAACAAAGTATGAAAAGCCGGGTTGCTTAAAACAACAGAAATGTATTGACTCGTAGTTGTGGAGGCTAGAAGTCAGAAATCAATGTGTTGGCAGGTTCATGCTCTCTGCTGGCTCTAGGGGAGAATCCTTCTTCCCCTCTCCTTCCTGTTTGGGTTTGCCAGCCATCCTTGTTGTTGTCTGATCTATAGATATATCACTCTGTTTTCTCTATGTGTCTTCACATCGTCTTTTTTTGTGTGTGTGTCTGGAGCTGTATCCAAATTCTCCTTTATTATAAGACACCAGTTAGTCTATTGGATTAGGACCCACCCTAATGACCTCATTTTAACTTGAGAACCTCTGTAAATGTGCTATTTCCAAATAAGATCATATTATTTTGAGATATTGGGGATTAGGATTTCAAATATATCTTTTTAGGGGGACACAATTCACTTCCTTCAAAGCCTGTCAGTGACTGCTCACTGTGCATCTGCTAGTTTGCACACAGACAGCAAAGTCTGCAATCGTGTTGACTCCTTGTCTCCCAGTGAGAAACCCATGTGACATTTATAAATATGAATAATCAGAAGAAAAAACTGGTCAACAACCATTGATGTGCAGCAAAGAAATAAAAAATGTGATAACCCTGGAAGTGTATTCAAATACAATGTAAATGGAATCATAGAATTGGCTCACCACAGGAAATGCAGCAAGAGGAACTCGGCGCAACGCAGTGTTCTGACATAAATGAGGAACGCAGCTGTGATGAAAAGGATGAAGAAGCCCCAGAGGAAGTGATGCCGGCAAAGACAGCAACAAACTTCATATTAAAGGAACTCTTGTAGATATTGCATGACAATGTTGACAATGTTAGATGCTGTTCCGAAAACAGCACGACAGTTCACCAAGGCATAGAAACACTGCTGGCTCCTTATCATAAGCTATACGACAAGAGGGAGGCAAGCACTGTTCAAACTGGGCTTGATATACGTCTATAAATAAATAAAGCACTTTAATTGGCTGTTGTTTAATGTTTTAAATTACAGTGTAAAAATGAAGTACTCCCAACCAGGCACGGTGGCTCACTCCTGTAATCCCAGCACTTTGGGAGGCTGAGGCGGATAATGAGGTCAGGAGATCAAGATCATCCTGGCTAACACAGTGAAACCCTGTCTGTACTAAAAATAGAAAAAATCAGCCTGGTGTGGTGGCATGCCACAACTACTTGGGAGGCTGAGGCAGAAGAATCGCTTGAACCCAAGAAGTGGAGCTTGCAGTGAGCCGAGATCGTGCCACTGCACTCCAGTCTGGGCGACAGAGCGAGACTCCATCTCAAAAAAAAAAAAAAAAAAAGTACTAATTTCACTATGTTTCATTTCCTTATACATTTATAACCAACAGTAAGAGATTTTTAATGTTTTGGCCAAAATTTTTAAATGACACAGAACAGTCGATGTTTCACATGGATTATTTAGGTCACTTTACAGATCTTTAGCTTACATAGTGATTTGTATGGCCCTGCACTGCTGTGCAAAGAGAGGACTGTCTGTGTTCTTAACCAGTAAGAAGGAGGGCAAGACAGAGGTTCTCAGCCAGATATTGCATACGTAATAAAATGATGGGAGAGGGAATAGCACTTTAGATATGAAATGTACCGTGTGGGGAAGCTATTTGAACAACAACAACAAAATAGCTTAATTTAACCCGATGGAGTACACTCAGCCACCTTCTAGATGTCCCTGCTTATTCTTCAAATCTTCTCTTTTGTGGCCCCAAAGAATGATTCACTCTCTGGAGTGAAAAATAACCGTTGCTTTCTTTGCCTGGAACTTTAAACTGACTTGTGCTGTATCATCCAAACCTGTTCAATTCTCTCTTTTCTATTACTCAGTGAGGTCCAAAGGAGCCAAAGACAAATCTCTCCTGTTTTTCTTCGAAATGTAAAGATGTTGCATCTGTAACCACAGGCTGCTTTTAATCCTAAAAGTCAGCGTGATAATGAAATCCAGTGATTAATTTCTGTCTTCTAATCAATAAGTAGACATATCAATTTATAGTATGTTAGAAAGCCTCAACTCCACTGAAACAAAAAGCAAGAGGCTCTGCAAATGTTGGAGTGTGCTAAAGGAAAAGCATGGACTGATGTTTGGGGAAAGGTTGGTCAATGTGATGAGGCCATCTGTGTTTGCTAATAGTGCTTATCAAAGTTAGGTTCCTACGCAGAGACAGAGACCAGGAGACAATCCTGTATCCTTCTTGATCCTTATAGTCCAAAGGGATAGCTCCTAAGTCTTTGAGAAAGACATTCTGTGTTATAGGAGATTTAAAGGGACAGAGAAAAGGTTTATAACTACAGGTTTTCTGTTTTTTTGTGTTTTTTTTTTTTTCTAGACGGAATCTCACTCTGTCACCAAGCTAGAGTGTAGTGGGGCGATCTCGGCTCACTGCAACCTCCGCTTCCCAAGTTCAAGTGATTCTCCTGCCTCAGCCTCCCAAGTAGCTGGGACTACATGTGTGTGCCACCACGCCCAACTAATTTTTGTATTTTTAGTAGAGACGGGTTTTCACCATGTTGGCCAGGATGGTCTTGCTCTCTTGACCTCAAGATCCACCCTCCTCAGCCTCCGAAAGTGATGGGATTTGAGCCACCACGCCTGGCCATAATTGCAAGTTTTCTAAAGTTAAAGCTCTTAGAAATGGGAGGTCAGGGGCCTATAGTCAAGTTTTGGGTGGGACAAACAGTAAATTCTTTTGGCAGAATTGAATGTTCCCAGGCAGGTGCTTTAGAGGGGTATGGGGCATCGTAGGGACGTGGCTCTGAGCTGATAGAGGCTGTGTTGGAATTTGGCCAAGTCCCTTACTGTATGTATGAGGAGGAGGGATGTGCAGAAGAAGTTGTTTGTGCCAAGAATTTGCGGTTTTCACAGGTTAAGACAGCGGTGCCTGGGATCATCTGCAAGGCATGAGTCAAATGTTGACACAATGATTGTTTGCAGACTCATCTGAGGGCTTAGGCAGATCTGGACCTGTTGATACTGAAGTTTCTGAAGGTAGAGGAAGAAAATATAATGTCTCAATAATATCTGAAGTAGGGGTAGGAAAACAGAGATTTAAGGAGGTGAGATCCCTTCAGGCCTCAGAAAGAAGCTTCACTTCTTGTGCCTCCCTTCAGAATAAATGGGTCATTAAATTAGTTCTTTGTAACTAACCTAGGCATGATGGTGAAGAAGGGAATAGTGAGAGGAAGAACTTTAAATAAATATGCCTGAGAGATCATACTAGATTAATGGGAGAGAAAGAAATTTCCAAGAAGCTGTCATGGGAAAGGGCTCACGAATAATAATTTAAAAATTAGTTATTGATAATATGAATAAATCAATAAAAATAAATAAAAAGAGATCTGCCAATAGCCACACTTACAGCACCAGATAGATTTTAAATAAATTAAAATTTGAGTTTTTAATGAATTTTCTACAATCCAAAATTTATTTGTTTAATTTTTGCAACGAAACACCATTTCTTTACTTTTTGCAAAAGTAAAAGTAAGATGCTACTTGTACTTTTTAAATAAAACTAATTTTAAAGAAAAACATAATTAGCCAGATGTGGTGGCAGGCACCTGTAATCCCAGCTACTGGGGAGGCTGAGGCAGGAGAATTGTGGAGGTTGCAGTGAGCCCAGAAGGCCCCACTGCATCCAGCCTGGGTGACAGAGCGAGACAGTCTCAAGCTTCTTCAGTACTCACATGTAAACTTCTACTTTCCCCTTCAGATTACAGCAACCATCATGCCAAAGCTATACACTCTCAGGGAATCCCTGTGGATTTCACTGATGACCACTTGACCAACTATCATAAAGATCAAGGCCAGGGGTTCTCAAACTCTCAACATTTGTGTGCTCATCTCCCCTTCACCCAGAGACTCCCCAGGGCTGCTGGGCCACACTTTGTTTTGTTTGACTGGAACATAGTTTGAAAGGGATGGAAATTTCCAAAAGGTGTTAATAGACACATAAAGATTTTTAAATATTAAAAAAAAGAAAAAGAAAGAAAGAAGGAAATGGGCATTTGTGAACTTTGGTCATGAGAACGCAGGCCTCGCAGTACTTAACTACTCCTTCCAAACCCCTGTCCAAAGAGAGGACCAAACTCTAGTGAGGCTTCCAGCAGCACAAGGATGTCCCACGGATGACCCCAGCCCTCCTTAAAATGACTGCCTGAGAAAGCTCACTTGCAAGGAGAATTTACTGTTTGTTTCAGGCAAAACCTGGTGATGGGCAGGTAGAGCCCTGAATCCCCTCTTAGAACCTTAGAAAGCTTGCAATTATAAATCTTTTCTCTGCCTTTGAAGTGTAAATCTACATCCCAGAATTGTCTCCCCAAAGACCTGAGAGCTGTCTCTTTGAAATGCAAACATTCAGGAAGCTAACTCTTGCTCTTGTTGCCAGTTCCTGAGGGAGGGGAAAGGCCTAGCTTTGGCGAGCACCTTGCTCCAGCTTGCACCTCTGACTCTTTTATTGCCATGAAAATCAACATGTAGACTTTTTTCAAACCCAATGACAGCCCATTACAATGGAGGCCATAGCGATGGAGGTCTCTACATGCAAAAAAAATGGTGGGACAGTTTCCTGACAACAGTCCAACTTTATTCCAAGGATAAGCATGTCATGAAATTATTGGATGGCAGATTATGCTTGAGTTATCTATGGTCTTCCTTTTTCTCCCTGGTCTCATCCCAATAGCTTACAGATCCTTTAAAGGCAAAGGCCAAATATTCAGCTAAGTTAGGCATACTTCAGATGCCAATATCAATTTTAGCTATATGGGAGATCCCACTTAAGATATTGAGGACGATCATGTGTGTACAGGGCAAAAAGTATGGGACAAAGAGATAAGAAGGGGATGGGAAATCACACCCTCCCTCCGCACCACAGACCATGACCTGGGGCAGGTCCTGTAACACCAAGCCCACCCAGGCCCCATCTAACAGTATGCCGCACTCTACATGACCTCAGAGTTCTTTCGGAATTCCAGCTGAAAAGCTGAAAAGAAATACTATATAGTTGTGGTTTCCAGCTGGCCCATGTTAGTATGTATAGCTTTTCTTCCTTGCCATGAAAGCACTATGGGAGAACGAAGCCCGATGCTGAGCATGCTTTGCCAGGTGGGTGCTGCTGAATCACAGACCTCAGCGACTGTGTTCCACCTCCACAGAGGCCGGGAATGTTTGTTTCCCCAGTGTGTTCATATATTTCAGCCAGTGTCTTGCACTTTGCCCTCTCAGTTTGCTTCACTTTCTGGCTCAGTGAAGCTGACCTGCAAGTCTCCCTGCAGTTTCCCTCAACAAGTGCTCACTGGGCAGCCCCAACATGTGAGAAACGGCTGTAGGGTGCACAGAGGTGAACTAAATTACTAAAAACTATTACTTTACTAAAATGTTTCCTGGATTCCAAAACTCACCAACTGGGAGAAAGGTCAGACACACACGGAGACAACTCATCTACACAAATGATCATCAGTGATTTAAAGAAGGTGCAGGAGATCATAGAATAAGAACAAGAAGAGATTACTTTCCAGGGCTCTCAGAAAGTTTCTGAAACGAAGTGCCATTGACCCTGACCTTAGCATTGTGATGGAGACATTACAGAGCTGGTAGGAAGGAGAAGAAGAAGGAACGGCTGGAACACACTTGGGGTGAAATGAGCAGCATTTCAGTGTGGGAGCTGCAGACTCGGTTTTGGTGGAAGAGTTAGGAGCCAGGATCTTGTCAGGAATAATTCTGTGTCCAAGTGCAGAATCGTGGTTTGCTCCATTACTGCCAGTAACTCCATTTCTCAATCATGATGGTGATGCTTTTTTTTGGCTCTCAATCCTGGAGATTGGCCGTACTGAAGTCACATTACAACAATTAACTTTTCAACTATTAGATGATTAATTTTTACCAAGTAGCAAGAACAGCTGTTTGGCACATAGCAGTGTGGCATGAGTATCTTGTAAATGAATTAAACAAAATATCTCTCCAGCACACACACAGTCATTCTTGCTGCATGTCAGCCTCCACTTCTCCCTCCATTATTTGATGCCGTGAAGCTGAGGCAGCCAGCTTGAGCGAAAGTTTTCAGATCTCACTCCAACAAAGAGCTTTGATTGATTCACTTAGTATAAGGTGTTTTATCTAGCTAAAGAAATCCAAGCTGAGTTTTATTAATTACTAAGAAAAATATCTGTGCAATAGATTAATCTTTGATCAAAACTATGTGTGAAGTAGAAACATATTACACATATGGAGAGCAATATTATGGAATAAAAACAACCTATGTGTGGCATAATTGACATTGTCTTTATATTTTTGGGGGGGCTGAAGACGCAGTCTCACTCTGTCGCCAGGCTGGAGTGCAGTGACACGATCTTGGCTCACTGCAATCTCCGCCTCCTGGGTTCAAGCTATTCTCCTGCCTCAGCCTCCTGAGTAGCTGGGATTACAGGTGCATGCTGCCACACCCAGCTAATTTTTGTATTTTTAGTAGAGACAGAGTTTCACCATGTTGTCCAGGATGGCCTCGATCTCCTGACCTCATGATCCTCTCGCCTCAGCCTCCCAAACTGCTGAGATTACAGGCATGAACCACCTTGCCTCGCCTATAAATAATTTTTGAAACAGATACAGAATATATAGATAGCTTAACAATTATAAAATTGTATTTATCAAGTATGTCACGAGGTAAACATTTTATGCTATGCAAAAGGGAGCAAACCTCCGAATTTGTCATGCAGGGTCACTAGTGGAACTCACAGCAACAGGTCTGATAAAGCAGAGGAGGGAACCAGGCTTCCGTGTGCTTTAGAGAGAGTGAAACATGAGGAGTCATAGGCAGAGAAAACTGTTTTTCAGAAAGAAAAGAAAGGGGACATGACAGCCCAGCAGTAGGGTGAAGAGGGCCTCTCCGTGGGTGCCACTGGCTTGAGCTGCTGTAAGTGGCTGTGCCTGGAACAGAGGATCTGGATAGGAGAATGGGGAAGGGAGTGCTGGAACCGGGGGTGGGCAGGAGCAGCAGTCTGGAGACCAGAATGACCTAGGGTTTCCTCTCATGCTCCCATTCCCAGTGTTTCACGTGTGTAAAGTAGCAAGCATGCATATACTGCTTAGAGGCATCTACACTTACATACTACACTCATATCCAACACTTGCATCGTACAAAGTACACATAGTAGGTGTGGCATGTAATAAGTTACCCTCTTATATTTTCTTCTAAAAGATTTTTAAATATTTGCATCTCAAATTTAAGTCCTTTGTCCATTTAGATCTGGCCTTTGTGTGATAGGGATCCATTTTTGGGATAGAGATGCATTCTGATATTTTCCCATATGGATACCAATTGCTCATACCATGGATCATATAGACCCTTTCTGACTGTTCTGTAATGTTAGCCAGGGCATACATCAAGATTTCACACAAGCATACACTTTCACAATAGCAATTCCTGCTGTGGTAATTATAACTTCACAGCAAATCTGGTACGAGATAGACTCACATAAGCTCCACCTCCCACCTTCGCACACTTTAGTCTTCTATGGGATTGTCTTAGTTATACTGGGCCCTTTTCTCTTCCGTATAAGCTTTGGAAGCAGTTTAGTGACAATGGTACTCTTGTCTTTTTCTTGATTTTAAAAGGAGTGATTTCAATATTTTTAATCACAAAACATGATAGGTGCTGTAGGTTATTTGTCGACTCCTTTTATCAGGTTAAGGAAGTTACCCTTTATTCATAGGTGGAAATATCAATAATTTAATTTTTGTAAATTTTTTTTTTTTTTTTTTTTGAGAGGGATTCTCACTTTGTGGCCCAGGCTGGAGTGCAGTGGCGGGATCTCGGCTCACTGCAAGCTCCGCCTCCCGGATTCACACCATTCTTCTGGCTCAGCCTCCCGAGTAGCTGGGACTACAGGCGCCCGCCTCCACGTCCAGCTAATTTTTTTTTTTTTTTAGTAGAGACAGGGTTTCATTGTGTTAGCCAGGATGGTCTCAATCTCCTGACCTCGTGATCCACCCGCCTCAGCCTCCCAAAGTGCTGGGATTACAGACGTGAGCCACTGTGCCCAGCTGTAAAATAATTTTATAGGCCTTTTGAGACAATCATATAATTTTTGTCTTTAATTTGTTGATAAGGAGATAATTTCAGTAGATTTTCTAACACTGAACTAAATTTGCATTACTAACCGAGCTTGTTCATGGTTTTTATACTTTGCTAGGTATACCTCCTAGTATTTTGTTTACACTATTTGTCTGTGTGCATGGATGAGGTACACCATAGCAAGGTTATCCTAGTATCATATGAATTAAAGAATGGTCTCTTTTTTTTCCCCTCGCAGATTATTAGTGTAACATTGGAGCTACTGGTGACATCATCTAGGCATCATGTTTTCTTTGTAGAATTATTAATTATTAACTCAATTACTTTAATGGTATGATTTCCATCTAGATTTTCTAATTGTTTGAGTCAACTTTGATATGTTATATGTATCCAAAAATGTGTTAATCTCACTTATTTACAAATGCATATATATGTCTTGTTACTTAATGAAATAGATCATAAATATAAAAGTGTGTGTGTACAGCTTAAGAAGAATATAAAATGAGCATATGCGCCCTTCCTTCAGGTTATGAAATAGAATATTTCCAGTATCTTAGAAACTCCCATTGCCCTTCTTCAATGCCACTCACTCTTTCCACAAGAGGTAACCACTATCCCTAACTTCCTGTTAATCATTCCATTGCTTGTCATTATAGACTTGCATATTGTTTAGTTTTGCACATGTTTGACTTTTTTAATAAGTGAAACTGTGTATTGTTTCTTGTTGTTTTTTTTCTGAGACGTAGTCTCCCTCTGTTGCCCAGGCTGGAGTGCAGTGGCGTGATCTCCGCTTACTGCAAGCTCCGCCTCCCGGGTTCATGCCATTCTCCTGCCTCAGCCTCCCGAGTAGCTGGGACTACAGGTGCCCACCACCACGCCTGGCTAATTTTTTATATTTTTTTTAGTAGAGACGGGGTTTCACCGTGTTAGCCAGGATGGTCTCGATCTCCTGACCTCATGATCTGCCCACCTCAGCCTCCCAAAGTGCTGGGATTACGGGCGTGAGCCACCGTGCCTGGCCAACTATGTATTGTTTCTTGTGATTAGATATGCATACACACAAACATGTGTATGCATATATATATATATATATATATATATATACACACATGTACACACACATTATTTTTTAGAGCAGTTTAAAGTTCACAGCAAAACTGAGCAGAAGGTATAGATTTCCCATATACTCCCTGCCCCCCACACATGCATAGCTTCTCTCATGATAAACGCCCCCCACCAGAGTGCTGCATTTGTTACAATTAATGATACATGATACATCTTATAGTTTGCATTAAGGTTCACACTTGGGCTTGGACAAATTTACAATGACAAGTATTCACTATTAAAATATCATACATGTACTTTCAGGGCCCTACGCATCCTCTGTGCTCTAGTTATTCATTCCTCTCTTCCTCCTAACTCCTGGAAACCACTGATTTTTTTTTTTCTATCTCTATAGTTTTACCTTTTCCAGAAAGGTCATATAGTTGGAAGTGACAGTATGTAGCCGTTTTAGATTGGCTTCTTTCACTTTGTAATATGCATATAAGCGTCCTCTGTGTCTTTTCGTGGCTTGACAGCTCTTTTTATTTTTTATTTTATTTATTTTATTTTTTTATTTTTTTTTTAGAGGGAGTCTTGCTCTGTCGCCCAGGCTGGAGGGCAGTGGCGTGATCTCCACTCACTGCAAGCCAAGCTCCACCTCCCGGGTTCACGCCATTCTCCTGCCTCAGCCTCCCGTGTAGCTGGGACTACAGGCACCTGCCACTGCACCTGGCTAAGTTTTTGTATTTTTAGTAGCCACGGGGTTTCACCGTGGTAGCCAGGATGGTCTCTATGTGCTGACCTCGTGATCTGCCTGCCTCGGCCTCCCAAAGTGCTGGGATTACAAGCGTGAGCCATCTCACCCGGCCAACAGCTCATTTATTTTATCATTGAATGATATTCAATTGTCTGGATGTACCACAGTTTGTTAATTCACCTACTGAAGGAAATCTTGCTTGTCTCCAAGTTTTTGCAATTATAAATAAAGCTTCCATAAACATCTGTGTGCAGGTTTCTGTGTGGACATAAGTTTTCAACTCCTTTGGATATATACCAAGAAACAAGATTGCTGGGTCGTATAATAAGAGTAGATTTAGTTTTCTAAGAAGCCACAAAACTGTTCTCCATTTTGTATTTCTATCAGCACTGAATGAGAGCTCCTGTTGCTTCACATCCTCATCAGCATTTGGTGTTGTCAGGGTTCTGGATTTTTGCCTTTCTAATACGCATGCAGTAGTATCTCATTGCAGTGCTGTATTTGAGAATGTGAATAGCTGCAGTTCATTCACTCTTAGTGCTGCGAGGTACTCTATTATCGGAATATATGATCATTTAGTTACCCAGTCCACTATCTACCCATATTGAGAGATAACTAGATTGTTTCCAGGTTTTTGAAATTGGGAACATTCTCATATATCTCTAGGTAAACAAATGCAAGAATTTTTCTGGGGCCTGTAACAGGCTGACTAGGTTGCACTAGGTTGTAGTGAAGTCACTGGGTCATAGGGTACATTATGATCAGCTGTATGAGCCAGCATCTGTCTGTTTTCCAAATGGCTGTCCTACTTTAGTGTGTGGGATGAATACTTCCATGTTTCTTTATCCTTGCCAATACCACACGTTTCGGAACTTCATAAAAAAATTGTCAATATGTGTGAAAGGATATCTAATTGTTAATTTTCATTTTCATGATTATTATGAGGTTGAGCACTTTTTACATGCTTATGGGATATTTGTGCTAACTTCTCAACAGACATGTTATTTTTCACTTATTTATAGGAGGCATATTCTGGATACCAGACCTTTCTAGGTAAGATGTGTTGCAAATAGCTCTGCCAAGTTTTGGGTATTTTTTTTCACATTGCAGTATCCTTTAATAAACAGAAGTATTAAATTTTTGTGTTATCAAATCAATTTTTCCTCTTTCAGTTTGTTCTTCCTCCCCAGGTAAAGATAAAAGATATGGCCGGGCGCGGTGGCTCACGCCTGTAATCTCAGCACTTTGGGAGGCCGAGGTGGGCAGATCACAAGGTCAGGAGATCGAGACCATCCTGGCTACCACGGTGAAACCCTGTCTCTAGTAAAAATACAAAAAATTAGTCCAGGCGGGGTGGCGGGCGCCTGTAGTCCCAGCTACTCCGGAGGCTCAAGCAGGAGAATGGCATGAACATGGGAGAGGAGGTGGAGCTTGCAGTTAGCCAAGACCGCGCCACTGCACTCCAGCCTGGGCAACAGAGCGACTCCATCTCAAAAAAGAAAAAAATAATTCTTCCCAGGTTTTTTTCTAAAAATGTTGAGAAGCTATCTTTATCCGTTAAAATATATTTTTATGTTTGTTCTCCAGGATTAAGTTTCAATTTCATTTTTTTCCCTTATGGAGATCAGTGGTCCCAGTGTTGCTTATTGTAAAATATACTATCTTCACTTAACAACAATGAAAGCTGTGTTACAAAATCTGTTTCCCAGTATTAGTGCAAAATATATTTCTCTTTATGATTGTACTCAGATTAACTAGTTT
Organism: Homo sapiens; assembly: GCF_000001405.40. Lineage (NCBI taxonomy): Eukaryota > Metazoa > Chordata > Mammalia > Primates > Hominidae > Homo > Homo sapiens. The sequence continues at coordinate 491 of NW_025791789.1, read as the reverse complement.
GCAGGACTGTGTCCAGAGTTGGTTCCTTCCGGTGGGTTCGTGGTCTCCCTGACTTCAAGAATGCAGCTGTGGACCTTCCTGGTGAGTGTTACAGTTCTTAAAGATGGCACGGAACCAAAAAGTGAGCCTAGGAAGGTTTATTGCTGAGAGCGAAAGAACAAAACTTCCACACCCTGGAAGGTGACCCCACCTGGTTGCTGCTGCTGGTTGCGGGTGGCCAGCTTTTATCCCCTTATTTCTTCCCACCCATGTTGTGTTTCTGTCTTATCAGAGTGCCCTTTTTTCAATCCTCTCCACTATTGACTACTTTTAGAATCCTGCTGATTGGTGTGTTTTACAGAGGCTGATTGGTGCATTTTACAAATTCCTTGTAGGACAGGAAAGTTCCCCAAGTCCGCACTCGACCCAGGAAGTGCAGCTGGCCTAACCTCTCACTGCCAGAGGCTAATTTCCATCCTGGTATTTCTCAGGCCCATAGATAGTGTGAATTC